>NC_000012.12:33803236-33955931 GCF_000001405.40 Homo sapiens
TGTCACTGGGAGCTCCAGACCGGAGCTGTTCCTATTCAGCCATCTTGCCCAGGAATCATACGTGAAATTTTAAAGATAAAACTAGTTTAGAAAATAGATTGTAACATTTCCATATACTTTCAAAATTCAGACAAATGTTTTTTTTTTTTAGTGAAAAGTATAGATTTTTGAATTTTTTTTTAATTTTTAAGTTCAGGGATACATGTGCAACTTTGTTATATAGGTAAACCCATGTCATGGGGGTTTGTTGATTATTTCATCACCCAAGTATTAGGCCTAATACTCATTAGTTATTTCTCCCAATCCTCTCCCTACTCCCACCCTCCACCTTCTGGTAGACCCCAGTGTCTGTTATTCTCCTCTATGTGTTCATGTGTTCTCATCATTCAGCTACCATGTATAAGTGAGAACACATGGTATTTAGTTTTCTGCTCCTGCATTAGTTTGCTAAGGACAATGGCCTCCGGCTCCATCCATGTTCCTGCAAAGGACATGATCTCATTCTTTTTTGATGACTGCATAGTATTCTGTAGTGTATATGTACCACATTTACTTTATTCAGTCTACCATTGATGGACATTTAGGCTGATTAGGCTGATCAACATGCTATTGTGACTAGTGCTGCAATGAACATATGCCTGCATGTTTTTCATGACAGAATGATTTATATTCCTTTGGGTATATACTCATTAATAGGATTGCTGGATCGAATCATAAGTAGTTTTGTGTTTACCCCTGTGATAAATCACCACATGGCTTTCCAAGTGATTGAACTAATTTACACTCCTACCTACAGTGTATAAGCATTCCTTTTTCACCACAACCTTGCCAGCATCTGTTATTTTTTGACTTTCTAGTAATAGACATTCTGACTGGTATCAGATGGTATGTCATTGTGGATTTGATTTCCATTTCTCTAATGAACAGTGAAATTGAGCATTTTTTCATGTGCTTCTTGGCCACATGTATGTTTTCTTTTGAAAAGTATCTGTTTATGTACTTTGCCTGCTTCTTAATGAATTTTTTTTTTAGTAAATTTGCTTAAGTTCCTTATAGATGCTAGATATTAGACCTTTGTCAGATGCACAGTTTGCAAATATTTTCTCCCATTCTGCAGATTATCTGTTTATTGATAGTTTCCTTTTTCTGTGCAGAAGCTCTTTAGTTTAATTAGGTCCCATCTGTCAGTTTTTGCCTTTGGCCTCTGGGTCACCAAATCTTTGCTAGTTCCTTTGTCCAGAATGGTATTGCTCAGGTTATCTTATAGAGTTTGTATGGTTCGGGGTTTTACATTAAAGTATTTCATCCATCTTGAGTTAATTTTTGTATAGGTGTAAGGAAGAAGTCCAGTTTCAATCTTCTGCATATGACTAACCAGTTATCTCAGCACTATTTACTGAATAGGGAGTTCTTCCCTTATTGCTTGTTTTTGTCAGCTTTGTTGAAGATCATATGGTTGTAGGTGTGTGGCCTTATTTCTGGGCTCTCTATTCTGTTCCATTGTTTTATGTGTCTGTTTTTATACAGTACCATGCTATTGTGGTTACTGTAGCCCTGTAGGATAGTTTGAATTTGGGTAGCATGATTCCTCCAGGTTTGTTCTTTTGGCCTAGGATTGTCTGGGTTATTTGAGCTCTTTTTTGGTTCCATATGAATTTTAAAGTAGTTTTTCCTAGTTCTATGAAGAATACCATTGGTAGTTTGATAGGAATAGCATTGAATCTATAAATTGCTTTGGGCAGTGTGGCCATTTTGCTGATATTGATTCTTCTTATCCATGAGCATGGAATGTTTTCGGATTTGTGTGTGTCATCTCTGTTTTCTTTGAGCAGTGTTTTGTAATTCTTATTGTAGAGTTATTTAACCTTCCTGGTTAGCTGTATTCCTAGGTATTTTATTCTTTTTATGGCAATTGCCAATGGGATTGCATTCTCGATTTGGCTCTCACTTGATGGTTTTTGGTGCATAGGAATGCTAGTGATTTTTGTACATTGATTTTGTATCTTGAGACTTTGCTGAGGTTGTTTATCAGCTTAAGAGCTTTTAGGCCAGGATCATGGGGTATTCTAGATATAGAATCATGTTGTCTGCAAACAGGGATAATTTGACTTCCTCTCTTCCTATTTAGATGCCCTTTATTTCTTTTTCTTGTGTGATTGCTCTGTTTAGGACTTCCAATACTATGTTAAATAGGAGTGGTGAGAGAGCACATCCCTGTCTTGTAACAATTTTCAAGGGGAATACTTCTAGCTGATGCTTGGTCAGTATGATGTTGGCTGCGGGTTTGTTACAGATGGCTCTCATTATTTTGAGTTATGTTCCTTCAATACCTAGTTTATTGAGAATTTTATCATGAGATGTAATAAAACTTATCAAAAGCCTTTTCTGCCTCTATTGAGATAATCATGTGGTTTTTGTCTTTACTTCTGTTTATGTTATGAATCACATTTATTGATTTGTGTTTGTTGAACCAACCTTGCATCCCTGGGATAAAGCCTACTTGATCTTTGTGGATTAGCATTTTGATGTGCTGCAAGATTTGGTTTGCCAGTATTTTGTTAAGGATTTGTTTCACCAGTGTTCATCAAGCATATTGGCCTGAAGTTTTATTTTCTTCTTCTTTTTTTTTTTTAATCACTGCCAGGTGTTGGTATCAGCATAATTGGTGGCCTCATAGAATGAGTTAGGGAAGAGTTTCTCCTCCTCAATTTTTCAGAGCTCTTTATTGCAGACCAAAGTTTTGTTTTGTTTTTAAGAAGAATTTCCACTTGTTCTTTATAAGAATGTAAAATTCCTTTTGATAAGCTGTGCGGTCAACATCATACTAGGGAAAAAGTACATTCTGAATATGTCATATTCCAACAAAAGTTCAGGAAGGACATCAGAGAATTTTTCAAGAGCAATAAAATTTTGCAAAATTTTGCTCTTCCAATCCAGGTTGCCTGTAATGGCAAACTAAAACTTAAATGATTATTAAACCAATAAGCAAATATTCATCTAGTTTTCTGTGCTTTGCTGTTTGCAAGATATCACATACATGGACTATATGGCTCTAACATGTTGGTTTTATCCAATAACTACTAACTTCATTTCTTTTTTAAATAGTACTGATTGGCCCACCCAATCAGTAAATGTGTGTTCAGCTTCCCAAACTTTTATCAACTTTTCCACCCTAATCCCTGGCTTCACCCACATCCCACAATGTAACACCAATATAGAGCTGTTCTCCAGGACTATAGCAATATAGAACTGTTTTATCAGTATGTAAATTTGTTCATCAGATATTTTATTAGAAAATTCATAAGTCAAACTTTCAGATACTTCATGATTAGTAAAATATTTACTACAACAGATTCTCAAATATTTTCCACTATGATGCCTTCTAAAGTTCTATGGCATGACTTTCAAATATTTATACTCTTCTAAAATGTTCAGTTCTATAAGGTATATTTTAGCTTGTTTCATGACTAACAAATTGCCATGAGGGATATGCTCACTAATTCTTTGTTAAATTTATTCTTTCAATACATGGTACAATTTTCATTTTGGGCTAGTGAAATATATATATTTTTAAAAATTTCTGTTCTGGTTAATTACTGTCATTTAAACCTTTTTAAAAAGCAAGAACAACACAAACTGCTTCTGAGACAAGGTAGCTGTATCGTAGTCTTTGAATTATAAACTCCGTAAAGAGAGGGACCATGTCTCTCATATTCAGCATTATATTCCTATTCACAAATAAAACAAATAAAAATAATGACAAGGAAAAAGCATGAATAAGAATGAGACATGAAGAGGCACCCAGGATAAACTTATCTACTTGAGAACATTTTTCTGTTGTTCTAGATTAAACTCCTAGCCTTGAAATTACTTTGTGTAGGCTTTTTAATCATAGCACTTATCCAAGCATATTTTATGGTAGTATTCATTTCAATGTTGGTATTTTCCTGGAAAAAAAACTCAAGGCAGGAAATGTGTCAGATATTTCCTAGAAAGTCTAATTTGTTGGCTGAACAAAAGAAATGATAAACAATTCCATTGGATAATAAAAACCTGGACATTATGAATTTTCTTCTTTAATTCACATATGGTTGATGTACTTTCTGTATTAGCCAGGGTTCTCTAGAGGGACAGAACTAATGGAATAGATATATATAAAGGGGAGTTTATTAAGTATTAACTCAAATGATCACAAGGTCCCACAATAGGCCATCTGCAGGCTGAGGAGCAAGGAGAGCCAGTCCAAGTTCCAAAACTGAATAATTCAGAATCCAATGTTTGAGGGCAGGAAGCAACCAGCACGGGAGAAAGATGTAGGCTGGGAGGCTGGGCCAGTCTCTCTTTTCACATTTTTCTGCCTGCTGATTTTCTAGCCATGCTGGCAGCTGATTAGATTGCACATATCCAAAATTAAGGGTGGGTCTGCCTTTCCCAGTCCACTGACTCAAATGTTAATCCTTCAATCCAATCAAGTTGACCCTCAGTATTAACCATCACACTTTCCATACCATTTTTTTTGTAAGATGCCACAAACACAACATCATGAAGATTCTGCAGCAACTACAATTTTCATGCTATATGTAACAATTACTTCTCTATCTTCTGCTTACTCTTACCCATAAGAGTATTTAACTTCCAAAATGTCTTTACAGAGGAATTATAGTGAAGCATCACTAAATTTTTAAAAACAACAAAATGTACACAAACAGCAGAAGTCTATGTGTTGATAGAAGAGATGAGACATACTGATGGCTGAAGATTATTCAGGTCAGTCTCGTTTGAATGAGTCTTGATGCCAAACCTTTGAAAAAACTTTCAATTTTCAGAGCCTTTGTTATTTTGTAATTATAGGTAATGGTTGTGTATATGTATATCGGTTTAAAAATGTATATATCCCTAACAAAACAGTACCAAAATATGTAGAGAAAAACTTGATGGAAATACAGACATAGTCACCATCTTATTGAAAAATTACAATATATTGATCTTAATTTTAGTAAGTTCAGTAAACAAAAATTCAATAAATACATAAAAGTTTTGAATTATTCTATTCAAAGCTTAATGTACTATATTACATAAAAACATGTGTCTAACAATATGATCTTGAAATCAGCCATAAAGCAAGTCTCAGAAATTACAAACATTGCATGTTCTCACTTGTTTGTGGAATCTAAAAATCAAAATGGAGATAAGGGTAGAAATATGGTTATCAGAGGCTGGGAAGGGTAGTGGAGAGATAAGGGAGAGGTAGGGATGATTAATGGGTACAAAAAAATAGAAAGAATGAATAAGACATAGTATTTGATAGTGCAACAGGGTGACTACAGTCAATAATAATTTAATACTACATTTTGAAATAACTAAAAGAGTATAATTGGATTGTCTGTAACACAAAGGATAAATGTTTGAGGGGATGGATACTCCACTTTACGTGATGTGATAATTACACATTGCATGACTGTGTCAAAACATCTCATGTACCTTATAAATATATATACCTACTATGTACCCACAAAAATTAAAATAAGAAATTTTAAAAAAGAAATAAAAAGCAAAGTGACTCACAATTTTTGAAGAGAGCAGAGCAGACCACAAAACAGAATATAAAATGATTCCATTGTGTTTGTGTGCATATGTAATTTTTTGTTTTTTTTCCCCATATTTCCCCAAATCATGCAATAAACAAATATTGCTTTTGTAATATTTTAAAATAAATTTCTAAAAAAAGGTATCATTCAATCCATGAACTTTGAACATAATCAAACTAAGTTGAAAGTTAATATCCAAAGTGTATATATTTCTAAATAAAATGGGTGAAGTGGCTATTTTTAAATTAGTTATAAGAGACTTCAAATAAAAGAGCATTAACAGAGATAAGAGGAATATTCTGTAATTTAAAAAGAGATAATTCATCAGGAAAATGTAACAATTATAAATGAGATACACAAAATAATATATCCTCAATATACATAAAACAGAAGTTGACAAAATTGATGGGGAAAATGGACATTTGTAAAATTACAGTTGGAGATTTTGGCACCTACCTCTCATCAATTGATTTAAAAAAAACAGATAAAATAGGAAATATAACAGTAAATACAGATCTGAGCCACACCTTCAATCACCTTGGTCTAATTGACACTAGAGCACGCTACATCCAACAACTGCAGAATAAACATGTTTTTCAAGTGCATATGGTATATTTAAGAAGATATAACATATTCTAGGACATAAAATACATCTCAATAGACCTAAAAGAATTGAAGTCATACAGAGTAGTATATTATCTAACTACAAAATAATTTTTAAAATTAGAAATCAGTAATAAAATATAGTTTAAATAACTCAAATACTGAAAAATTGAACAATCAGGCACCTAACATAGAACCCAACCATTCCAAGCTTACAAAAAGGTCTGTACACAAACGTTCATGACTGCTTTATTTGCAGTAGTCAAAAACTTACACAAATAGCAGATCTATTTGCTTAGAGCTCTGATATTCTACATAGCTCTTTGCAGACAAAACGGAGGCTGGATTTTGTTCTATGTACCTTTAATGATTTGTTAAATTAGGCATAAGAAGGAAATCTCCAGAAACTATGTTATCACCAATTGCCTGTCTCCAGGCACCACTGATTTCCTAGCATTTCTGAAGGCATTCATATATATACATATACTTAAAGTTCTGAGATACATGTACAGAACGTGCAGGTTTGTTACATAGGTATACATGTGCCATGGTGGTTTGCTGCACCCATCAACCTGTCGTCTACATTAGGTATTTCTCCTAATGCTATCCCTCCCCTAGCCCCCTACCCTGACAGGCCCTGGCGTGTGATGTTCCCCTCCCTGTGTCCCTGTGGACACAGAAAACATTTTTTACTGCCTGTTTCAGACCCATTCCTATATATGCTTATTGAAATCACATTTGTACTTGCGATGTCTGTCAAACTCTGCACTGGTCATTCAACATATGTTGTTGGAGGCTAGTTTCAGCAAATAGTCCACTTTTTCTAGTTTTGCTTCAGATTCATTATAGCATAATTGCAATGTCTGTTGGCTTATTAGTGCTGAAGTAACAGAGTGCCTTCTCTATGAGGCCACTTAAATGTAGAGTAGTAGGAGCATTCGCATTGGAGAGTAGGCTTTTTTTTTTTTAGCTTATGTAATGTTGCAGATTTATGGGTAGTTCAAATTCCAAACTTGATCATTAGAACAGCTCTACTTGCTAGAGGGTTTCATAGAACTTATAAACAAGGGAAAGAAAGGACCTTTCTTTCTTGAATTGGCAAAAAATAACAGAAGCTAGATGGTAAATGTAGAAGAGACCTCTCCATCTGAGAAGGAAAAAGGAATAGGGAAATCAGATCACATAAATGCAACATAGAGAACTTCTAAACAAGTCTCTGACTGTATTATGTTCTATGAATGTTCTGGAAATAGTTTAGTAAGGTATTTAAATCATACCTCAACTTCTTATTTTTTCTAATTTGTTCATTTTTTTAAAGATTAAGTACAGAGAATTGAGTTCATTATACTCAGTTCATGGCACATATTTGTCTTTAGATTGGGAAAGTGCCCTCTCTTGCCTAATTTTCTTCTATCTCCCTTCTTCATGCTTATCCTTGTTGCCACTATAGACAATGATTCTAATTTTAATAATATTTATCTTTGTATTTGGTCATGTTCTTGCAAAATGACTATTGCTACTTTGTGTTTGGAAGCAATTGTTTGACGAATTCAATTCACCAGATGTCTGACTAGACCACTGAGCCCTTTGAAATATATCTTTGCCCAATAAAAAGGTAAATCTGCTTTTATTTCATTTTCTTAAATGTTTCTTTTCTTGCTACAAAACTAGATACCAAACAAACAAAAGGAGTACGATAATTTTATCTTTTAATTCTGATTACATATGAACTGTGGTTATTGAAATGAAAGATGAAAATTGGCTCACTCTTTGCACAGTGAATATATAAGAAATAAAGAATAGGAGATAAACTAACACAATAACACATTGTTTACTGCAAGATTCCTGGTCTGGTAGATCATTGTGCTACTCTGAGAAACAGATAGTTCTCTGGAGTAAGGAGGGAACTGAAGCTTTAATATACGAAAGGACTAAACAGGGTAGTCTTCTCTGGGAAAATCTCAGATGAGGGAAAAAATAACTCTCCATCTACATTCAAAAAGGGCATCTTTATAGAAATGCATATTTACTAGCACGAAGGACCTCTGAGGAAGCACTACATACCCAAATATCTCCCTTTCCAACTGGCTATGAAAACATACACTCTTCTCATTCCTGGTAAGGATAATCTGCTGAGATCATACAGGGTTGAATTCCTCTTGGCTTTGCAGCCTGGGATATTGTGAAACTGAGACAGAGCAATGGAGAGAGAATATGGCAGAGAGCAAAATCAGTAGTTCCAGACTGGTAAAGGCTGTGTGAACACCCAGATCTTCCTGCATAGAAAAACTTTCTGGTTCGGCTGCCTGGAAACAGCCTTTGGATAGCAGCCCTGGAGGGATCACCTTGTTTCAGAGAGCTTCCTTACCCAAGGTCAAGCTTCTTCCCACATTGGACTATATCCAATGGCTGATGTACATGAGACTATAAAAGCCTGGTCATCTCAGCTCAACTTGGGTCAATGCTGAGATGTCTAGCTCCAGGACTTCCCATGGGACAGCCAAGATGCTCTTTGGTTCTGCATTACAGCTCACCTTCTCCATCTGCTTCTTTCCTTTCCTTTCTCCTCCCAAAATCACTTCTAATTAAATATTCTGCTTGTTAAATCTAAAATGCAGATTTAAGAGGACCTTCCTACAACCAATATCAATTTAAAGAATACCTTGTGACTTAGATGCTTTTGTTTATTTTGAATTGTAGAATATAGTAGAATTAATTATTTAGCTTAAACACATTAATAAAAAAGTATTTCTACATGCTCTTCTTTATGTAAAAGGATAAGTGTCTATAAAATCAAATAGCTGAAAGAAATGGTGTTTTTATGAGAGTTTTAAAAAATTCATTCTATAGAATCACTCACTTGCAAATTGTTGCAGATATAATTTCATCATCTTCTTGCTGACATTAGGACCATGAAGTGATCCCAAAGACCCCAACGTGAGAGTCAAGCCCCTGAATCAAATTTTTTTTGTCAAAACTGTGCCTGGGTTCCCTTTACAATATGGTAATCATAAAAACAATTCTAGACAAATGAAGAGTTTTGTAGGTAAAACACAATAAATATGGTGAAAAAAGACACATATTCATATGTAGCAAAGCCACATTATAGCTTCAGCTTAATAATTTAACTAACTCCCATAATGGGAGCTTTTATCCGTGCCATTTCAGCCTGTAAAATTCAGAAGATGAAAAATCTCTTAAAAATCTTTATTAGCATTGGGTAGACACCTAGCCATTAGGTCAATGGTATCTTAAAGGGAGAAAGTAACATTATTTAGTTGCTATCTATTATGTGCCTATTGTTGGACAGATGCAAAAATAGATGCTGGGAGAACAGATTTGAAAATATACACTTCCTGCATTTTTTTGATTTTTATTTTTAAGTTCTGGGGTACCCGTGTAGGATGTGCAGGTTTGTTACATAGGTAAACGTGTGCCCTGATGGTTTGCTCCATATACCAGGAGGATCTAGAGGGGAAACACAAGAAGGTAGAAATGTTGTATAAGAAGTAAGCGCTACAATAGAGTAGAGCTGAAGGAAATTTAATCTCGACTGGGATAAAAGTAGGGGTCAGAGGTAGGACACGGTGCTCAGATATCTTGAACCACTCAGCGAAAGTAAAAATATTGGCCAAGTTTGGAACAAAAAGAGTTAGCGAGAAGGAAGAAGGAAGGAACATCCTTCCAGACATATGTGGATAAATGCACAAAAGCCTAGAGTTAGAAGAATACACTTTAACAAAAATTCAAGAACATCATTAACAATGGAGGTGGGTGGACAATCCACTATATTTGAACAGGAAAGTAGAGACTAGGTAGCAGCCATCTCTTGAAGAGTTTTAAATGTAAAAGCATGTTATTTAGATTCTATCCTGAAAGCAAAGAGGAGGTCTTCAAGGAAAATCATATAGTCAGATTTATGTTTTAGAAAGATTATCTTTCTAAAGCCAAGGGAAGTGAGAAAAAAGTTATTAGAACCAGTAAGTGCCCTGTCAATTTGGTTCTTACAAAATATTATTTTAAAATAGTTTTTTAGAAATAATGTTATGAGCAAAGTGCCCTAATTTTAAGACATAAAAGTTGACTCTGGCTATTTAAACAATGAGAAATTAATTTAAATGATTTTGGGAAGTTCACAAAAATGTTGAGAGGTTGGGAACCAGACTTTAAGACAAACTTCTAGAAATAGGAACACTACTGAAAACTCACCTAGTGAGGAAACTGCTGCACACCACAAGCTGGATCTGCCTCAACTAGAAAGCCATGGCCGTAGCCACTAACACCTCCAAAGGAAGCTGAATTCCTCTATGACATCATGGCCATGAAACCACAGCTCCGCTTAGATTTAGATTCAAGTTACAGGAGGTCAAAAGTGAATGGAAGATAAAAAACAGGTGATAGACCAGAATTGTCTTTCAAGAAGCTTAGTGGCAGTGGAAGGATCATGATTTATCAAAATGTAAAGAAGATTTTAAAGATATATTTGCAACTATAGGATAATAACTATGTATTCATTTTGGATACATTGGGGAAGCAATATACTGAGATTAGGGAATTGTAGAGAAAGGTGAGTATTTGAAACATTTTTCCAAGCAATGGCAGAAACAACTTCTTGGGACACATAAATACATTGCCAAGCAATACTAAGGGCAAAGCTGAGCTAAAAGGGGAAATAATGTATTTGTAATATTTCCAGTCTTGGTGGATGTTGGATTTTTCTTCAGTGACATTTGAAAGCTTGGGCATACACTTAGGTTGGGATTTAGGTAGAACCAAGAGCCTTCAGAGTATTATCACTAGACTGGTTGGGATGACGGGCCGTGTGGTTCACATTAGATAGAATAAAGGGAAGAAACCTAAAGTGTTGAGAGGTGATAGAAGAGTTAAGATCACAGGTAATGTTGGGTTCAAAACTGGAGTAAGGAAGCACTATGACTGTGAGTAAAAGGTTAGTTCATCGCTTTAAAAAGTAAAATAGTTGCTAGTAGTGACAAGGTTCAGAGTGTGGCTATGAACATAATTTGCTATGATAGAAGGGAGGTGAATGCTTTAGGAATCATGGAATTGTAAGCCTAGAGTATAGATGAATAAAAAACTGCCAAACTATTGGTGGAATTGAGGATAGAAATGAACATTGTGGGCCAGGCGTGGTGGCTCACACCTGTAATCCCAGCACTTTGGGAAGCTGAGGCAGGTGGATCACGAGGTCAGGAGATCAAGACCATCCTGGCTAACACAATGAAACCCTGTCTCTACTAAAAATACAAAAATTAACTGGGCATGGTGGCATGCGCCTGTAATCCTAGCTACTTGGGAGGCTGAGGCAGGAGAATCGCTTGAACCCAGGAGGCGGAGGTTGCAGGGAGCTGAGATCGTGCCACTGCTCTCCAGCGTGGGTGACAGAGCGAATTTCCGTCTCAAAAAAAAAAAAAAAAAAGAAATGAAATGAACATTGTGAACCAAGGTTTCAAACCCAGAGACTCCAACCAGTCTATTGCTAATATCCTGAAGGCCCTTGCTCCTAGCTAAATCCCAGCCTCAAGATCTTCCTCTACCCTCCTGTTCCCAGGCTTTCAAATCATACTGGTATATACAAATATGCATATGGTTTTGTAGTGGGTCTCTATATGATAGCAATTTTGAAGGATATAGGAGAACATAACTAAGTGACTTAATCTTAACTTGAATAGGATGATTTATACAAGAGTGCAGGAATAATGACTTCGTGTGAGATTAGGAATTAAAAAAGGAGCTTCATCTATACCACCCCTTATGCATGCCTTTGGGTAAACTTTTTGGTCATGCCATTGCACCTTATACAAAAGGCTAGATAGATTAGTTCTCTGAGTACTTTGATGTGGCCAGATTCTTTTTCCATAATCTTTGTATCATGTTAATAATTGATTGCCTGTTCCCTACATTTTAGATTACACCACTAGGACTCTAATTTGGAGTTGCTCACCAGCTTTGCCTACCAGCAGGCCTCAAACTAAAAGGCATTCTCATGCTTGACTAAAACTTTCAACACTCTCCCTTGCCTTGTCAGCCTGCCCTAAAATATCAGTTACTCCTAGCTTCACTAGACATTAAGATGAAGAAATAAAAAGGAATATGATAGTACTTATATCCACAAAGCCTTACAATGATGAGTTCTCACTGATTTACATGCATTTGTATGGTACCAACTGGCTTTCTCGGTCTCTTAGTAAAAATAAGAAGCAACAACAAAAGCTTTGTTTTGAGGTAGTTCAGAGATTTTGCAACTTTGTTTTAAAAATGAAAATCACTGAGAAAGTAAATATTTTCTTTCAGGGTGTGGTAGTTGCCAGCTTGCCTAAAAGAGAAGCTTGTTTTAGATGTGGGCACTGACATGATTTCTAGTCTCTCCATCTCTCTACACACACAGACACACACACATAACTGATACATCCAAAACTTTGATGTTCACAAATAATGTATGCACATAA
The DNA here is from genome assembly GCF_000001405.40 of Homo sapiens. NCBI lineage: Eukaryota > Metazoa > Chordata > Mammalia > Primates > Hominidae > Homo > Homo sapiens. The sequence continues at coordinate 33,815,895 of NC_000012.12, forward strand.
TAGAGACCAGAGATCCCAAACCATGACTTTAAGGTACAAGATGGTAACATACTTCATGGAAGAGCCAAACTGGGTCTAGGGAAGAAATAAGCAAATAACAGATCAGGAGAATATGACCCTATCTAAAGTTGTTCAATTTTAAATCTTTTAAGCACTGAAGAAAAAAATCTCTGCTCTATAAGCTGAAGCTTTCACCACAAAAATTATAGCCATGTGAGCCAATGTATTTGGTAATTAGTTAGATTTAACTATTCCACAATGCCTATACACTTCAAAACATTATGTTGTACATGATAAAACCGTACAATGTAATTTGTCAATTTTTAAAAAGTCAAAAATTTACTTTGTATATTTGGTTGTCAAATGGGTGTCAGATGTCAGTTTGCAGTCCCAGTAAATAAAAAAAATGATAAATAAATTGCCTGCTTTGTCCTTTATTAGATGTGCTTGCTCCATGTTTTTAAATTTCATAATTGCCACAAACATTTGTTAACCACACATTATCTAAGAATAAATAAAGTAAATTGATTGTACAATGGAATTCACAAACATAAAACCTAACTTAAACCCTACACCAGTGTTTTGTAAAGTGTAGTCCTCAAATCATTGCTAGTTCCTGGCCATAAGTTAAGTGTTTGGCATAGAATGGCAATTTCAAAGGAAAGAGATACACAGAACCTGAATTCAGCTCTGAATCAAGTGGACCTGGTAGATATCTATAGAACTCTTCACCCAAAAACCACAGAATATACATTCTTCTCATTGCCACATGGCACTTACTCTAAAATTGATCACATAATTGGAAGTAAAACTTTCCTCAACAAATGAAAAGGCCTGAAATTATAACACTCTCTCAGAACACAGTGCAATCATATTAGAACTCAAGACTAAGAAACACACCCAAACCACCCAATTACATGGTGTTGAACAACCTGCTCCTGAATAACTCCTGGGTAAATCATCAAATTAAGGCAGAAATCAAGAAGTTCTTTGAAGCTAATGAGAACAAAGAGATAATATACCGGAATCTCTAGGATGCAGCTAAAGCTGCGTTAAGAGGGAAATTTATACACTAAATTCCCACATCAAAAAGCTGGAAAGATCTCAAATCAACATCCTAACACCACAACTAAAAGAACTAGAGAACCAAGAGCAAACAAACCCCAAACTAGCAGAAATAAACAAGATCAGAGTGGAACTGAAGGAGATAAAGACACAAAAAACTCTTCAAGAAAATAACAAAGGAATCCAGGAGCAGCTCTTTTTAAAAAAAATTAATAAAATAGACTGCTAGCTAAACTAATAAAGAAGAAAAAAGAGAAGAATCAAATAGACACCATCAAAAGTGATATGGGGGTTATAACCACTGAACCCACAGAAATACAAACAACTTTCCTTCTTTGTGTCCATTTCTTCTGATCATTTAGCTCCCACTTATAAGTGAGAACATGTGTTATTTCATTATCTATTTCTGCATTAGCTTCCTCAGGATATTGGTCTCCAGCTCCATCCATGTTGCTGCAAATGACATGATTTCATTTTTATTAACAGTTCTGTAGTACTCGATGGTGTACATATACTGCATTTTCTTCATCCAGTCCACCACTGATGGGCATTTACATTGATTCCATGTGTGTGCTATTGTGAATAGTGTGGTGATGAACATACACATGCATGTATATGGCATAAGGAAGAGGTCCAGTTTCAATCTTCTGCATATGGATAGTCAGGTATTCCAGGACCAGTTATTCAATAGAGATTCCTTTCCGAGTTGCTTGTTTTGGTTGACTTTGTCAAAGATCAGATGGTTATAGGTGTATGGCACTATTTCTGGGCTCTCTATTCTGTTCCAATTGTCTGTGTGTTTTTGTACCAGTACCATGCTATTTTGATTATTGTAGAAATCTGCTGCACTAAAGAGCTGAAGCATTCCTGATCTGCTGGCCACAACATTTTGATGGGTGGAGCCAGCCAAAGTGCTTCACTGGGGCAGTGGCAGTGGGATCCGTACTTGCTCACATGTGCCAGCAACTGCAGCAGTGTGGTGGGGTACCTGTGTGTCAGTTGGGGAGGGGTACTGGTGGGAGTTGGGCTGTTGTGTTCCTGTGTGCACTTGCACTCAGGTGGTGGCATGGTGGTGGTGGGGTGCTGGCAAGGGCAGGGTTGATGGTGTCTGTATTTGCACTCTCACTGGCATCAGTGGCAACAGAGGTGAGCATTATTGAGTGCAGAGCCTCAGACCTCTGTGCCTACATTAATGCCAGCAATGGTGGCATGGTCAGGTCCCTGCATGTCACTAGTGGATGGGGGTTAGAGGGTTGTGGAGGTGGGTAGGTGGGTGGTGGGGCGATCTCACCCTGGCAGCAGTGGGTGGTGAGGGGTGGGCCAGCAGGGATGGGGAGGCAAGGTCCATCAGCATGTGCATGCCAGCAAATCAGTAGTAGGGGTGGCTTCTGGGCTAGTGTATGCTGCAAAGCTGCATGAGAGAGGTCACAGTTGGGGAGGGTGTAGGTAGGCTGTTGCAAGCAATGCTCATGGAGCTCTCTGACACAGTCTGAGGGCCCCTGGGAAGCACCCTGGTTGGGTATCTGAGGCTGCCCTGTAGCCAGACTAGGACCCCAGGAGGGGCCAGCAGACAGAGGAATGCTCAGATCGGACTGGCCTCAACTCATAATCGAGGGCAGTCGCTTGCTCTGTCCACATTCAACTGTCACCCCAATGCTGCAGTCTTCTAGAGGAGCGTGGTGAATGTATTAGTCTGTTCTCATTCTGCTAATAAAGACATACCCAAGACCGGGTAATGTTGGGGTGATCAGACCCAACACCATGTCGTGGGGGTGATGAAGTCCACTGGAGTCAAAGGAATGAGAAAAGACAGCTTGAGAGAGAAAGTGGGTCCAGGGGGCCAACACGAGTATGGAGGCTGCGAAGGTCCTGAGCTCTGGAAGCCCAGACTATCTACTGTTGATCAAACAAAGAAACAGGTGGTGAGAATGTGGGGGTGAAAGGGCAAGTGCTTGATCTACAGCTGTGATGGTTTAGCATTTCCTTTGAGGCATATGGAGCATGTTCTGCTACTTGAGACAATGGGGAGCATGTTCTTCTAGTTTAAGCTAGAAGCAAGGAGCCAGCAAATCTAGACTCATTCCAGAGGTCATGAGGGGTTTTATGCCCTGAGCCCTGGACATTATGTCAGACAAGCAAGCCCTGCCTCAGCTTTTTTTCCCCCAACACTCAGCTTTTTCCTAACAGGGTAATTTATAAGAGGTTTAAGTGACTCACAGTTCCACATGGCTGGGAAGGCCTCACAATCATGGCAGAAGGCAAATGAGGAGCAAAGTCATGTTTTACATTGTGGCAGGCAAAAGACCTTGTGCAGGGGAACTCCCATTTATAAAACCATCAGGTCTTGTGAGACTCATTCACTACAATGAGAACAGTATGGGGGAAATGGCCCTCAGAATTCAATTATCTACATCTGGCCCTACTGCCCTTGACACATGGGGATTATTACAATTCAAGGTGAGATTTGGGTGGAGACACAGTGAAACCATATCAGTGCTACTGGGGGATAGGCACTCCTGGCTGTGCTCCACTGCAAACATTTCCACACCAAATCCTCTAGACTCCACACAGGCTGGAGTCCTGCCCCTATCACCTCTCTAAACAAGTCTCTTTGCCAGCTCAAGTGTTCATGGGGGTTGTGGAGTCTCTTGCTGCCAGGATTCCAGACATATGTGGACAGATATATGTTTCCTTGTTCAACTCACCTCTTCCCCAAGAATCACTAGGGGCCAGGAATGAGTCCTGGTGCTTGGTATCCCCATGCAGAGTTCCCAGCTTCCCCCAGCTTCAGCCCGATGCCTGTGCCCTTTCTGTTTTTGCTCACAATACTTTCCCCCTGAAGATCTGCTTGGAGTGTGCTGGTTTTCTCCATGTTCTAGTCTCTCAATGACAGGTGTTCCTCCTGGCTCCAACTTGTCAGCCCTGTTGGCTGAAACTCCTAGTTCTTTAAATGTTTAGTAGAATTCAGCCATGAAGCCATCCAGTCCTAGGCTTTCCTTTGAGGAGAGACCTTTCATTACTGATTTCATCTTCTTACTCATTATTGTTTTTTTCAGATTTTCTATTTCTTTATGAATCAGTCTTGGCAGATTGTATGTGTTTAGAAATTTATCCATCTCCTCTAGGTTATCCATTTTGTTTGTGTATAAGTTCAGAGAAGTGTCCTATAATTCTTTGTATTTCTATGGTATTGGTTGTAAGGTCTTCCTTTTCATTTCTGACACTTATATGAGACTTCTCTCTTTTTTCTCAGTCTAGCTAAAAGTTTGTATATTTTTTTTTCAGAAAAACACCCTGTTTTTATATTTTCTATTGTTTTTTAAGTCTCTATGTTATTTATTTGTCATCTGATATTTCTTATTTCCTTCCTTCTACTAACTTTGCACTTAGATTGTTATCCTTTTTCTAGTTATTTGAGGTAAAATGTTAGGTTGTTTAATTAGGGTATATATATTTTTTCAGTGTAGGCATTAATTGCTATAAAGTTCCCTTAGAACTGCTTTTGCTGCATCCTATACATTTTGGTATGTTGTGTTTCTATTTCCCTTTGTCTCAAGACATTTTTGAAGTTCCCTTTTAATTTCTTCTTTGGCCCATCAGTTGTTTATGAGCATGTTGTATAAATTTCACATTTTTAAAAATTTTCCAAGATTTCTCCTGTTACTGATTTCTAGTTTCATACCATTATGGTCTTAAACAATGCTAGATATAAGTTAAATCTTTTCATATATTTTAAGATTTGTTTTGTTGCCTAACATATAATATCGTGGAGAATGTTCCATGTGTACTTGATAAGAATGTATATTCTGCTTCTGTTGGATGGAATGTTCTGAATATGTCTTGTTAAGGCCAATTGTTCTAAAGTGTAGTCCAAGTTTAATGTTTCTGTATTGATTTGTTTTTTCTGGATGATCTGTCCATTACTGGAAGTGAGGTATTGAAGTCCCCTACTATTACTATATTGCAATCTATCTCTCTCTTTAGAGGTATTAATATTAATATTTGCTTTGTATATTTAGGTGCTCTGATGTTGGATATATATATTATATATATAATTATTATATCCTCTTGATGAATTGACCCCTTTACCAATATATAATGACCTTCTATGTCTCATTTCATGGTCTTTTACTTAAAGTATTGTCTAAGTCTGTTTTGTACTGCCATAACCAAATAACACAGATTGGATAATTTATAATAAACAGAAATATATTGACTTACAGTTCTGGAAGCTGGGAAGTTTTAGATCTAGGGGCCACATATGGCAAGGGCCTTTTAGCTGTGTCATCCCATGCCAAAAGGGCAAAGAGAGAGTGAGAGAGAGTCAGAGAGACCATGACATCAAACCCACAGCCTCAAACTCTTTTATCATCAGCATTAATCCATTTGTGAGCAAGTAACCTTCATGACCTAAATGTTTCCCATTAGGCCCCACCTCCCACAACTGTTGCATTAGGATTTATTTTCCAACTAATGCTTTGTGGGGGACATACTCAAACCATAGCATCTCATCCCTAGCCCCCCAAATGTATGTCATTCTCACTTGCAAAGTACATTCATTCCATGCCAATAGCCCAAAAGTCAACTAATTCCTGCATCAACTCAAATAAAGTCCAAAGTTTCATCTAACTCAGATACGGGTGAGACTTAAGACATATTTGCCTTGAGGCAAATTTCCCTCTAGCTGTGAAACTGTGAAATTAAACAATTACATGCTTCCAAAATAATGAGACAGGCATAGAATAGACATTCTCATTCCAAAAGAGAGACATAGGCAAGGAGAAAGGGGAAACTGATCCCAATTAAGTCCAAAACCCAACTGGGTAAACAACATCAAATTTCAAGGCTGGAGAATATTCTTCTTTGAATCAATCTCTCAACTTCTGGGCACACTGGGGTGGGGGTCGCCCCCCCTCCAAGACCTCCATCAGCCTCACCCCTATGGTTTTGCTGAACTTAGCCCATGCAACTGGTCTCAGGCATTGGGCGTCTCATGCCTGCAATTCTCCCAGACTGGAGTTGCATGCTGGTAGTTTGACCATTCTGAGTTCTCTGCAAGTGACCCTAACCCCACAGTTCTTTCGGGCATTGCTCTAGTGGGGACTCTGTGCAGCAGCTCTGCCTCTCTGACAAGCCTCTGCCCGGGCCTCAAGTTTGTCTATGACATCCTTTGAAATTTAAGTGGAAGAAATCATGCCTCTGCAACTCATACTCTCTGAGCCTGCAGAATTAGCACCACCTGAACTTTGTCAAAGTTTACTGATTGTGCCGCCCTCCTGAGTGGTAGCCTGAACTGCTCCTGGGCTGGCTTGAGCCTTGGGCTTGGATGGTCCAGGATTGCTGCACTGGAATTCAAGGACAAACACTTAAGGCCACACTGGGCAGCAAATGCTGAGTTCCCATAGACACCCCTCTGGAAACTTTGCCCTCAAGGTTTTAGCTTGCCTCAAATATCTCTAATATGCCTTTTGGGTCATTTTTTCCATTTCTTTGGTAAATAGAATCTGGCTCCCATCTACCCAATATTAATCTCTTCAGCAAAGAGTCACTTGGTCACAACCTTGGTATTATTTCCTGAACATGCTTTTTTTTTGCTTTTTATATGGCAGCCTGAGAGTTTGTAAATCTTTCCATCCTGCTTCCCTTTTAATTATAAATTCTGCATTTAAATCATTGCTCTCCCCTCAAATTTTACTATATGCAGTTACAAAAAGCCACTGAGCACCCTAAATGCTTTGCTGCTTGCATATTTGTACCAACAGATATCTTAGTTTATTGCTCTTAAGTTGCGTCTTTTATAAAGCCCTTGGGCATGGACACAGTTCAGCCTAGTTCTTTGCCACTTTACAACAAGGATGGCCTTTCCCCCAGTTTCCAGTACTTTTTTCCTCATTTCTTTCTAACACTATCAGAGTAGTCTTCACTGTCTATATATCCACGAGCATTCTGGTCATGACCAATTCAGTAATCTCTAAGAAGTTTCATACTTTCCCTACAGTTCTCTTCTGAGGCCTCAACAGAATCACCCTTAATGCTCCATTTATGGCAATACAAGCATGTTTTTAACACTCACTTCAAAACTGTCCCATCTTACCACAAAAGTGACAAATATATGAGATAATCGATATGTTAATTAGCTTGATTCATTTCATAATGTACAAATATATCAAAATATAACAATGTACATTTTAAACATATATAATTTTGTTAATTATATCTTAAAGCTGGGGAAAATATTTTTAATTGTTAGAACTACATAAGAAATTAACAAATATCTTTTTAAAAAGGGAAAAAATTATAGCTTAAAGAACCAGATAAAAAAAGTAAATGCTCTAAGGGAGGGAGGGACCTCTGTGGTTATGGCATCTGGATTTCATAAGGGCCGGGGTGAGAGGGTGGTCAGGGGTCTAGAGACAGAAAGAAACCTATCCAGAGTTTAATCAAGCTGAGGGAAATATTTAGCCTGTCTTGGTCAGTAATTTTAATTTTAACAGCTATCACCAGATTATTTTACCAAAGATCTATAATAATTCACATTTCACCATTTTTCCATCTTCTCAACATTAGAAATACTACATCTTATTTTACATGTTTACAGTATAATAGGAAAACAGTGATACTTCATTACGTTTAAATTTGTATTTTCACAACTACATGTGTACATATGTAACAAACCTGCACGTTGTGCACATGTACCCTAAAACTTAAAGTGTAATAATAATAATAGAAAAAAAGAAAAAAAGTCTGAATATCTTCTTCCCATTTGATTATATATTTTTGTGAATATCATATCTGTCCACTTTGTCTTTTTTTGGTTAGTGTGGGTTTTTTTGCATGTTAAAAAGTTGTTTATTAACTTTTATCTTAAGATTTTTGACATACAATTATTTATACATTTAATATTTTGGTTAAAATATCTTCCTAATGATTGCCTGGGGGAAGGGTGAGAGGAGAGAGGATTAGCTGCAGAGGATCAAGAGAAAATCTTTTGGGATGGTGGAAATATTCTATATCTTAATTATTATAAGGGTTACATGAACATATGTATTCATCAAAACCCATCAAACTATACGCTTCAATTGGGTGGGTTTCATTATATGTAAATTCTACCTCCATAAACCTGGGGTGCGGGGACTAACAGAAAAAAACTCTTAGCAAATGGTACAATTAAGGCTAATTTTATATATCAAATTTTATATCAAAAGAAAAATCCAGTGAATGTTGACCTCTAGTTAACAATTTGCATACTGAATATTTATGAGATTTATTGATTTCTTCAGTCAACTTTGAAATGCATGGAAAATAAAATAAACTGATGGATGGATAAAGGAATGGGTAGGCAGACAGATATTGATAAAACAAATAAACTACTGATGTTAGATCTAAGTGGTGGTTATATAAATGTTTGCTGCAAACTTTTTCAACCTTGCCATAGGCTTGAAAATTTTGAGAATAAATTTTATAATTAAAATATCTCTCAATACTGGCTGGGTGCGGTGGCTCACGCCTATAATCCCAGCACTTTGGGAGGCCGAGGCAGGAGGATCATGAGGTCAGGAGATCAAGACCATCCTGGCCAACATGGTGAAACTCCGTCTCTACTAAAAATACAAAAAAAATCAGCCGGGCATGGTGGCAGGCACCTGTAATCCCAGCTACTCGGGAGGCTGAGGCAGGAGAATTGCTTGAACCCAGGAGTTGGAGGTTGCAGTGAGCCAAGATCGCCACTGCACTCCAGCCTGGTGACAGAATGAGACCCCGCCTCAAAAAAATAAATATATATATATATATATCTCAATACTTAGGTTGCTATATAGTATACTATAATTTCTTCTAAAATTTACTGCTTTATATAATAAGAAGAATTCTAAGATATTCTCAAGATTCCTCACCTCTGGCATACAATGATCATCTAATCAGTTATCAAATCAAACAGGAATCTAGTTGCTGCTGTGATGGAATTTTCAAGGTATAGTTAGTGTTCCAAATCAATTAATCTTTCAGATAGGGAGATGATCTTCAGTGGGCCTCAGGTGAGTCCTTTTAAGGTTCTTCATGGCTCCAGTGCTGGTGCAACTGTTCAGCAATGTCATGAGGACCTATGTTCCTACTATACCATCTTTGGTATAATGGTTTAATCTTATAAAAGAATTAAGACAGATAACAGAGTAATACAGTTTCCTTCATTTCTTTTCCCTTTTCCCATGCCATTTTCCCCCTTCCTCTCTCCTGAAGCTTTGTTGACAGACAAACTTCAAGGCTTAGAAAAACAGCTCTCCAAACACTCTTCTGGGATTTCACTGATGAGCAAGAGGTGTGAACAACAGAAGCAAAAACACAACCAGAATAATCTCCAAGAAATCCGATGAAAAATGCAACCTGATCCAAACCAAAGTACCCCGTACTTTCCCCTTCTTCATTAGCCAGTACAGCTACAATCTTACTTTGATCTGGGGAGTCACCCATTCTTGAGATACTCACTGATTATTTCAGATGAATAAAATCTCGTAATTCCATATGTCACTTAGGCTATTTTTTTCATTGAAAATCATCACTTTATAGTTGCAAGATGGTTTCCATATTCCCCAACAGGGTATGCAATGACAATGTTTAGGGGCAGAGGAAGTGTACCTCCTGTGTTTATTTTTATTGGGGAAAAAATTCTTTCCCAGAGACTGAGTCAGACTTCTCTCTCAGATCCCTGTGGCCAGGACTGAGTCACATTCTGATGTCCTGGTGCAATGAAAGCCAGAAAGGTGATTATATGGTATTTTTAGCTTCTTTAATGGGAGTTAAGTCAGCAAGGAAGAAATCCTGGGGATGGGAAGAATGGCTGCAGAGCGTACAGCCAACAGTGTGTAGCACATTTTTCCAGAATATTATTGAACATGTCATATCATCTAAAGTAGTCAGGATGTTCAATTTTATAGGTTTCTGAACACTCACAATTTTTTAAGCAGCTCCTCTTGAATATTTTGATTGTAATAAAAGGATATTTCCAGTAGAGCCAAATTTCCAGTAGAATCAAATGTTTTAACATATATAACAGAATATTTTCCTTTCTAAAAGGCAGTTTGAGGAAAGGCACAGAGAGATTCTTCATATGAAATTATGCTGGCTTGCAGTGCTGGAGCAAAACAATCAGTATCAAAACACAGAAAGTATGTTACCAAAAGTGAAACCAGATGATTAATTTGTATCTTCATAGCACCAATAGTAAGGGCCTTGTGCTAGTCCTGGACCCAAACTAGGAACCCCACAACAAAGACTCTTCTTCTATTTGTGTTTTGCAAGGGTGTGTTTCTGTTCAGGTCAATATCCATCACAGGTACCTCACTAGCAAAATAAGCAGTGTTGCTAAGCGACAGGAAAAAAATGATGTTTGAGAAAGCCATCTCTTTGAAACAATAGCTGACAAGAGAGCTGTTGCTAAGTGCCATTTAGCATGCATATCAAACTGAACCTTATGATCATCTGCAGTTAAATGTGTCATGCCACTCTGCACCGATAAGGTTTTTGAAATGGAAAAAAAGGAGATAAAACATGGACCTTTTCTCATGCTACAGATCCATTTTCCCTAGATGGCCTAAAGAGGATGACTAGTTGATGGTTCTCACATACTTATGTATTCTGAGGCATAAGTGCTAATCGATTATCATCATTACAGTTTTTCATCAGGGAGCCTTTTCCTGCCTACATAGAAATTATAGATACGAGGAGAGAAAGATAAATACGGGGACACAGTAATATGTAAATATAGGATATTGAAAACTTACTGTTACAGTAATGATATATAAGAAACCACCTCAAAACTCAGTGATTTATAAAAAAAATAACCTTGACTTTACCTCACATCATATATAAAAATTAACTTGAAATGGGTCTTTGAGCTAAAAGTATGATCTATACTTGTAAATCACCTAGAAGAAATCATAGAATATCTTTTGTGACTTTAGGGTAGGAAAATGTTTCATAGATGGGACACAAAACTATAGACCATAAAAGAAAATAATTAAACTGAATTGTATCAAATTTTTTTTCATCTTCTGTTTGGAAGATACTGATGAGAAAATCAAAAGACAAGTCACAGGTTAGGAGGAAATATTTGCAAAACATATATCTGATAAAAGGCTGGAATTCAGAATATATAAAAACCTTACAAAACTCAATAATAAGGAAACAATCAATTAGAAATAGGCAACAGATTTTAACAAATACTTCGTCAAAGAAGATTAAAAACTTTAAATATGGATGGCAAATAAATTTATGAAAGAAGCTCTACATTGTTACTTTTTAGAGAAATCTGAATGAAAAACCTAATGAGATGCCACTTTACACCTACAGCAATTACTAAATAAACCAAAACAAGGACAGCCCCAACCCCCTAAATTTGACATTACCAAGAGCTACTGAATGTACAGAGTAATTTGAACACTCATACATTGTTGGTAGAATGTAATGTGGTTCAGTCACTCCATAAAACAGCTTGGCAATTTCTTACAAACATACACTTGACAAACAACTCAGCAATCCTACTCCTCAGTATTTACCTAAAAGAAATAAAATGGTATGCCCACACCAGAACACACATGTAAATATTGCTAAGTAGCTTTAATCTTAATATCCCCCAAATGTAAACAACCCCAATGTCTATCAGCTGGTGAATGGTAAAAAATAAGAACAACAACAACAATGACAAAAATAAAACCACGACTGTGTTAAATACATATAACATATAAATACATACTCAGAGATCAAAAGAACATACACGCAAAGACATAGATACATCTCAAATGTGTTATGCTAAATGAAAGAAGCCAAATTAAAAAAAAACCTTCATACTATATGATTCCATTACTTTGACTGTTTGGAAAATTGAAAACTACCAGGTACAGAAAACCAATCAGTAGTTGCCAGGGACTAAGAGTGAGGGGAGGCAATTGGCTGTAATGGGGCACAAGGGAATGTTGAATGTTGATAGAAATGTTTTAAATCTTTATTGTGATGGTGATCATGTAACTGTACATACTTCTCAAAATGCATAAAACCCTATACCCAAAACGGGTGAATTTATTTACTACAACACTGTATCTCAGTAATCCTGACCCCTTAAAGCAACAAAAACAAAACTTATTTATTTATAATCATTTATTCTCACAGATCTGCTGGTCATTTGGAGAAATTTTGCTTCAGATTGAATTACCAAGAAGTCTCTGCTTTCTATTGTTCATTTACTCATAACCAATGTGCTAGCTTGGGCATATGTCCTATTTTGGCGTAGGCATTATTAAAGTTCCTGCTTTCATAAGTTCTCCTGCCATCTCACTAGCTAAAGCAAACACTTCAAGAGCCTAAAGCGAATGATAGGAGATAAAATTCATGAAAATGCAAAATTGCACAGCAAAGGCCTAGATACAGGGAAGGGTGAAGAAGTACTGCCAGCAATTCAATACCTAAGCCAAATTGGTCATGCATGATTCTAAGGAGCCAATGGTGAATTCTATGTTTTGGATGTAATTTACCACAACTCATGTTGAAATTTGACTCCCAATGTGGCAATGTTGGAAGGTGGGGCCTAGTGGAAGGGGTTTGAGTCATTGGAGCAGATCCCTCACAAATAGATTAATGCCATCTTGTGGAGTTCTCATTCCAGTGGATTAGTTACCATGAGAGTGTGTTGTTCCTCCTTATGTTTGATCTCTTTGCACACGCCTGCTTGCCTTTCTACTTGTCTACCACAACTTGAAGCAGCACATGGCCCTCACCAGTTGCCTGTACCATGCTCTTGAACTTTCCAGCCACTGAAATTGTGAGTTAACTAAACCTCTTTTCTTATAAATTACCCAGTGTTAGATATTATGTTATGGCAACACAAAACAAATGAAGACAGTAAAAAAGGGTTGTCATCAATAATTAAATAACGGTGACATAAGCTAATTTCCCACAACCACACTAAGAGGTTATAATGAAAACAAATATCAGGCCAAATTTTACCATACATACTGAGAGTTAGTGAATAAATATTCTTTAGAAGAAGGAAGAAAAGTTTATGTAACTTCTCCTTTCAGTGGGATAAGTTCTCATTTCCTTATCTCATTTTTTTTGGTACTGATCTGATGTTGCATGAGCAGTTTACTTGAGTCAGGTATGGTAATATTCTAGATATAGGAGTCTATACCCTTAGAGATGACATATAATTATCATCGGCCAATCAAAATCCTTCATGCCAATAGATGGACAAAGGATTGTTTAAAAATCAAGGCCAAAACAGTTCTCTCAAGTTTGCAAGCTACAGAACTTGCTAGATGCATACGGTCTGTTCAATTAATGGTGCAGTGGTGCATTTAGACAATTATAATATGCCTAAAATATTTCAGCTAATCTACTTATTTTTATTATTGCTGGTTTTGCCATGAGACTTCACTTCCATATTCATTATGTTAATTAGCAAGACACTAATTTCACCAGTGAATCACTGTATCTAAAATTGAATTGTAAAATATGTGACCAGAAATAATGATTAATAAAATAATGAAATATGTGTATTTCTTCTGAAATGAGGCTTTTCTGAATGAAGAGCAAGTGACAATCCCTAAAATGTGAATCCCTGATTATAGCAATTGGCAACACCTAAGGTTTAGCTAGCCTAACATTAACAATACATATAAAAATCACAATGTCTATGCTGTAGTACTTCAAAGCAAATGATTCAGAAGATGTTTTTTGAGAGCCTCCAGGTAAACTGGTGTTCCAATACCAGAGCAGCTAGTAACTTTGCCCTAACGGGAAATCAAGTGAGGCTGAATGTGTGTGTCTGCAGTGTGCCTTTCTCAGGATACTTCCTTTATCTGACGGACAGCCTAATGCCTGGTTGTCTGACCCACGCCTAGTTTATGTCTGTCAGACCATCACTCTGCAGCTGGGAGACTGACCTTCTGTTCTCCCCACATCCTCAAGAAAACCAGGCCTGGGGAAGCCCCTAATTCTTCACATGGAAGGCACAAATTAAATAGACCAACCCAATAAAAACAAGTTTAAAGATTTTACTTACAGATCCTGAGCAAGGAGGATGCTGTAAGTTGGGAGGGTAGTCCTCCCTCCCTGGGGCCTGTGAGGCAGTAATGAAGACTCAAGCAAAGAGAGAGAGCCAGAGGGAGAGAGAGACAGAACGAACCAGTGGTATACGTAAGGGAATAGGGTGTGGATCACTTTAAGTTCTCAGGCAAATGCCTGAATGGTCCCTTTAAATGGCAGGAAAGTGGGGAGCCCAACATGCAAGGCAAGAGAGATGCATCTAAGTTCTTGGTCTTTGGACACCAGCTTGAGCCCATTTGTTTGTGGTTAGAACTGGAATGGTGACTAAGCTCTGTCTCTGGTATGAGAAAGTGAAACTTTTATTCAAAATGGATGCCAAGGCAACATAAAATTATAAGCATTAGTTACAAAATGTTTATATCAGTATTATTACAAAATAAATATCCAACAATAGAAGAATAAATTAAGTCATATTCCCGTAATACAGTATATAATATTTTGAATATTACAAAACAAAGAATACACAGATATGTTGATTGAAAGAAGCCTGTCGATTCAATTAATATGAAGTTCAAAAATTGGTGGACATAATTTGTGGTGATAGATATTTGCGGTGGGTTGAGTGTGGTATCGACTGCAAAGTGAGAATAAGAAAACCTTCTGGGTGATGGGAATATTATTTATCTAAGCACAGGTGACTATTTCCAATGTATATCCATACATAAAACATTATCAAGCAGTTCACTTATAGCTAAAATATTTTGAGTAAATTACATAACACTAATATAAAACTATTTACCTGTAATATCAAGTCCAATTCTGTTTTCAGTGGCCACATATGTATATAATAAATATATGAATATAAATTAGACAGAGAAGCAGCTATCCCTTCAGAACCATATTCTGGAATTCACGGGAATATTGGAAAGCTGTTCTCACCATCCACCTATCTACATCTTCCCCCCTCTGCCTCATTCTTGACTGCAGTTATATTTGATGAACTCGTCATCCTGTAAGTAGCAATACAAATACCGACTTCTTTGTAGTTATATCTGACTATTCTCAAATCTCTTACCCATCAGAATTGATTGTCTCAAACTCCGTGTTCTTGTAGTGATTTTTTAACATAATTTTGTCAGGTTAATTATTTAATAAGAGGTTTTTTTCATATGTGCTTACTCCCTCAAAAGATTATGAAGGTCTAGAATTGTATCTGACATACAATTTTCATCCTCCAAAACACAGACCGTGCCTGCACATGATCCTGTCTGTATTCAAAAAACAAATTATTTCTCTCTTCACCTTACAGAAACTCATAGAAATGGTTACTCTTTTGAGTTTATGAGTCTACTCTCTGTGTTCTATGGTGACAGAAAACTGAGCTTTTGTTTTTCAATGATATGTACTTTGGTTATCAATATCTTCATTGTACTATGGTAGGCATCATTTAGTAGGCTATCTATTTGTCTTCACTGGAATCCTTCCAGTTCTTTTACTATTAATGCCTTATGTCAGAAATTCTTCATCAATTGCCTAAACAGTAGCGATGGCCTCCTAATTGATTGTTCTGTATCTAATCTACCCTCAACTGCCGTAACCTTCATGAGCTCTACAAGCCATTCTTAACACTACAGAATAAAGATCTTTCTAAAGTGGTTGCTGAACTAAATGACCTTCCTACTTATTCCCATAGTAGCACTTATAACAACATATCCTACCTTTTTGTTGCTTGTCTACATTCAGCAACACATAATAATTCAGATAAGGAACTGTGTTTTCTTTAATATTCTATACCTATGATAATTCCCAGTGTCTATTGTTGCCATCTTTATGTTTATGAGTATCCAATGTTTAACTCCCATGTATAAGTGAGAACATGCAGTATTTGGTTTTCTGTTCTATCAGAAGGGGGAGAGAGGGCAGGGGACAAGGACTAAAAAACTAACTGTTGGATACTATGTTCACTACCTGGGTGATAGCAGCATTCGTACTCCAAATTCTCAGCATCACCCAATATACTCATGTAACAAGTCTATAAGTGTATTCTCTGAATCTAAAATGAAAGTAGAAATCATAAAAAAGAAAAATATATTCTATACCTAGCATACAGTACAAGGCTGAAACAGAGTAGATGCCCATGAGTTGAATATATGAATAAATAAAAAGGCTTTTGATTTTCCACATGGAATCAGTCCCACACATCATCTAAATCTGTACAGAGAAGTCTTCTTGAATCTATTTCATATATATATATAACTTTATGTAAAGAATTAACTTAAAATATAACTTAATAAGTTGTATCATTATAACTTATTAAGTTATATGTGTAACTTATTCCATATATTTCTATCTTTCTATATGTTAATGCATATGTGCAATTGTGCACTTTAATCTTAACTTTTCATTTGTTACTATGCCATTTAATCAATTATTCCTATGTCACTTCATATTAAAAGTTTTTTTACAAATGTATCAGGACTTTTTTGGTGAACAGTCTATCAGTTGTACCTTTTATATACACTTACATAATAATATACTCAGTAAATACTATATACAATAATCGCATATTATTAAAATGATTGTTTAGTAATTACTATAACTAATAAAAGTTTACCATGTTTTAAAATTTGGTCATTTGCTATTTAAGTAGGGTTTAATTTACAAAATTAAATCAAAAATTCCACAGAACAGAAGTTTACACCTACTATATAGCCCCTTCTAATCTCTCAGGTGCCTCCCGCAATAAATATCTTTTCTTATGGGATTTCATAATTTAAAGAATAAAACAACTAACCATAAAGTTACAATGTTGAAGAGTGTAAATATGAGTGATCCTTTTCCACTTACATACAAGTGGATTATTTGATGGCTGATTTAGCACAGAGGTTGAAACTCCATTGGGAATGTGGATAATTCGTTTCTCAATTAAGACAATGAAAATGAAATATGATGTGGTTGATCGACAGGAGGAAACAGCTATTCCTATAACTTAAAATGTTTTATGGCATACCATTTATAATTCAATACCAAAACCCTGAGAAGAATAATGAAAATATCGTAAGGCACACTGAGTTCCTTAAAAATAAGGATTGCATAATCAAAGGCATATTAAGACAGCAACAGCTGAAAAGATGTTCTAAGATGTTATTTCAGGAAAAATACTGTTCTTTCATTATCTTAACAAAACATGAGTAGCCCCTGCTGATTTGAGCACCAAGTCATGATTTTTCCAAAAATGAAATGCTGTTTTGTCTTTATTATTCAAAATTATGATTTGGAAGAGGGCATGCTAGTCAGAAGCTTATAATGGCTACAGAAGAAGAAAGAGGAGAAGCCATAGAATATTGTGACTCTGAAATAAATGGATGATAATCAATCTTCTTAAACATTTTCTACTCCCAAAGGAACCATTTCACAGTGTCTATCAAACAACAGATAAAAGTTTGGAAACACACATAACACTTGCTTCCTCAAAAATAGCAATAAATTCTTTGTCAAATTCTACAGCAGTCATTCCATAGAATTTCTTTGATTGTACTTCATTCAGTATTGCACATTTGCCATCATATATTTGTATCTTCATATAAAAAATACACATTTTAAGAAGAGATACATTTGCTCTGAATAATGCCTTTCTTTCCATATTTTCACTTTGATATTTTTTATGCCTTCTAAAGCAGAAGACGTTTGGTCAGCTTTGCCAAGAGATACAAATAGTTAAAGTAAAAGAACAGCTGGCTACTTTTCAATAATTGGTGGTAAGCAAAACTGGTTAGCAAGCATGCTGTTAATCTTCCTGGGCTGGCGGTACATGTTTGCCAGTAGCTCCAATGAGTCTCTTACCATTAAGCATCTTTAATCACTGTGGTGCAACCAAAGCGGGTGATGGGTTATTCTTTCGCAAAGGCAAAAACATAAACTCCAAATATAAACCAAAACATTTAATCATTTCTGAATATTATAACTCCCTGGTTTCCTACAAATAGAAATGCAAAACCTTATTTAAACTGGTCTTTAATCCATAAAAAATTCTCTTCAAGAATGTGAAAGTGAGCCTAAGGAGAAAGAACATGAAGGCAAAATAGACTCCTCTAATGTGCAGAGCAACTGTACATAATGTCAAGAATGCAAAAATAGGATCAGTGCCTTGGTGAGAGTTCTCACACAGCTGGGTGAACCCATGCAGAATTCTTCTGAGCCTTATTTTCCTTTTCTGCACAGCCATTATTAATAGCCTTGGAGAGTTTACCTCACCCTCTGTCTGTTCTGGGTCTCAGAAACACAAGTCTACACCTGCAGGAACACAGTGGGTTCAGAGTAAACAGTTTATGTTTCATTATTAGCTCCATCTCTTATTTCCTGTACAAATGTGGGCAAAGTACTTAACTTCTTTGTGCTTTGTTTCATCACTGGCAAAAAAAAAAAAAGGATAAAAATTGCACACATATAAGTACAATGCAGTCATTAATGGTACAGGTTCTGGAGCTAAACTATTTGGATTTAAATCCTGGCTCTCGTATTTGTTAGATGTGTTACCCTGAACAAGTTACTGTATCTTTCTGTGCCTCAGAGTTTTTTGTCATGTGTAAAATGGATAATCTTTATAAAATAGGGATTTATGGATATTTTATTAAATTTTGTAACCCTTTAAAGTGATGTTTGCCATGTAAGAACTATTCAATATATATTAGCTACTCTTTTTGTTATTATTAATATCATTAGTATTGAAATTTCTGAATGGGCTTCCAATGAACAAAATCCTTTATCCACAGATTATGAAAAAGATAAATGAAACAAAGAGTAAATATGGAGAACACAATATTGTTTTTATTACTAACTTTTGGCCTGAGGGCTTAGTAACTCATCCTGAACACTAGTTAAACTGATTGACAAGCCACTACTCCCACCTCAAAGCAGCTTCCACATGAGGCGGCACCTGCAGAAACTTATAAAGAGGATTAAGGAATCTCTGCCTTCTGCAGCTATAACCCCTTTCAAGAAGAAGAGACTGTAGCTAAATAAATAGATCTTCCTAAATTTGCCTTTATGAAAAGTCATTCAACCTCCCCAAAGGCAAAATGAATAAAGAGTGCAGGGGAACCCTAGGTCATAACAATGGAGCATTATTTGCAGGAAGGAAACAGGAAGCGGAAGAAATCTTCCCAAATGACATTGTTGTCGTCATCATCATTATTATCCACACCATCACCAAAAGTGCCTCTACGAAGAGGCGCCTAGAACAGAGCATTTCCTTTTTCCTCAATAACTTTTTAAAAATTATTTTGTATTCCTTATATTCATGTATGTATTACACTAAAAGCTAGAGAACTTAAATGTCACTGGTCCCTTAGTCATGTGACAAACTCCCTTTTAGTATGTGTGCTTGCCAATATAAATTGGATTGGGAGTTATTTATCATCATTCAAAAAGATTAGTTAATATGCAGTTACTATGTCTCTTTTGCTAGGTCAACAAATTTGCCTTCTGCTGTACTGAAATAGGGATATGATCATAATCATTTGTTCAGATTGTTGGGAAAGGAGCTTTCCACATACTCTTGTCAAATGTCATAGAAATAGTTCACCTTATTTGGTGGGAAAAGGAGATAATAAAACCAATATGAAGCATCTGAAAAATAACAATGTACATCAAAATAAAAGGCCATTCACTAACGATAAACAACTCAAAAATAAATTAGAATAACATGTGAAAATTGACATTCAGAACAGTGAAAAATATCCCGAGAAAGAGCAAAGTGGAATGACTCAATTCTGAATTTTAAAGTTTACTACAAAGCTATAATAATGAAGAAGGTATGGTCATGACATAAGGATATATAGAGAGATCAGTGGAATAGAAGGAAGATCCCAGAAATAGTCCCTCACGTTTATGGTCAATTAATTTTCAACACAGGTGCCAAGAAAATTCAACAGGAAGAAATAGCCTTTTAAAAATCAGTGCTGGGATAATTGGCTATCGATATGCAAAAAGATGAATTTGTACAAGGCAAATAGCCCAATTAAAAAATGGGCAAAGGATTTAAATACATATCTCTCCAAAGACAACATAAAATGGCTAATAAGGATATGAAAAGATGTTCAACATCATTATCTATCCAGGAAATTTAAATCAATCCCATAATAGGAAACTATTTTTCACCCACTCTGATGTCTATAATCAAAGAAACAAACAATAACAAATGTTGGCTAGCATATGGGAAAATTGAAACTCTCATACCTTGCAAATGGGAATGTAAAATGGTAATCCAATTTGAAAAATAGTTGGACAGTTTCTTAAAATGTTTAATTGTTTTACCGTTTGACCCAGCAATTCTACTCCTAAGTATCAAATAAATACATGGGAATAGTCACAACAGCATCATTCAAAAATTGCTAAAAATTTGAAACAATGTAATTTTTACTAATTGGTAACTGGATAAGCAATATTTGGCATATCTATACAGTGGAATACTATTTAGCTATAAGCAGGAACAAATACAGATGCATACTGTAACATGAATGAACCTCAAAAACATTATGCTTAGTGAAAGAAGCCAGACACAAACGAACACATATTGAATGATTCCATTCATATGAAATGTCCCAAAATCCCAAATCTATATATTGAGGTGGTGGATTAGTAATTGTCTAGGACTGGGAGGTAGAATGGGGAGTGACTTTAAACAAACATGAGATTTCGTTCTAGGATGATACAAAAGTTCTAAAATTACATTATGGTAGAGTTTGTAAAACTTATAAAATATATTACATCTCATTGTACATTTATAATGCATGAATTTTATGATATATAAATTGTATCTTAATAAAGCTTTTCCAAGAAAAGAAAGGAATATTTTCCTAAAGTGTGAGAATGAAACATACCTTTGAAAATTATTTCCTTCAAGTTACCCATTTGCTTAGTGATTATAAAGTGGATTCATATCTATTATTTAATTTTTTGTTTACAACAATTCCTTGTAATAAAAAATATTATTTCTGTTTTACAGAGGAAGTTGACTCTAAGAAGTCAATTTATCTGCCATGGTCTTAAACTAGGTAGGTTGCACTAAAACCGAATTTAATTTTGTTTTAATCCAAAATCATCTAACATTTTGTTAGTGAATATTGTTCTGTGGCTCAAATGCAATATAACTTTGTTTGTCCCCCATGCAAGAATTCAAAGCACATGCTCTTGGTCAGGGATTCAGAGACCAGACTCCTTACATCTTGTGGATTCACTATTCCCTAAAACCTCATTATCATCTCATTTGCTGGAAAAGGAAAGAGAGCATGGAGGGTGTTTTACAGCCTTTGCCTGGGGAAGACACACCTTGTCTCCTAACATGTCATTGGCTAGAATTCAGTCACATGACCACACCTAACTGCAAGGGCAGCTGGGAAGTACCAACTAGAGGTGGGCCATAAAATAAGAGGATAATGAATTTTGGTAAAAAGCTAGCAGTCTCTGCACAGAAATGTAACCTTTAAGAAAATTTGACTGCTACCTGTGCTCTGAAATGGCAAGTTTAAGGTCAAATCTATCTAATGCATTCACATATTCTTATAAAATTAACTGAAGATAAAGTTTAGCTATAAAGAAGTAATCATAAACCTAAACATTCATTCTACGTTTCTAACTGTGCTTATTACAAACATGACGCAAATCAAGTTCCTTTTACAATTCCTTGAGTAACCAGGAATTATATGGTTCTAAGTTAACAGTGCTCAAGCACTGACCCAATCACCATTTGTCATTTCACAGTTCAGTTCTGCAACTTATATGCTATGTAATTTGGACATGTTATTTAATGCCTGTAAGTGTCAGATTCTCCAACTGAAGAAAAGGAATAATACACCCAAGTCAACCATAAAAACCCTAAAAGAAAACCTAGGCAATACCACTCAGGACATAGGCATAGGCAAGGACTTCATGACTAAAACACCAAAAGCAATGGCAACAAAAGCCAAAATTGACAAATGGGATCTAATTAAACTAAAGAGCTTCTGCACAGCAAAAGAAACTACCATCAGAGTGAACAGGCAACCCACATAATAGGAGAAAATTTTAACAATCTACCCATCTGACAAAGGGCTAATATCCAGAATCTATAAAGAACTCAAACAAATTTACAAGAAAAAAATCAAACAACCCCATCGAAAAGTGGGTGAAGGAAATGAACAGACACTTCTCAAAAGAAGACATTTATGCAACCAACAGACCTATGGAAAAAGCTCATCATCACTGGTCATTAGAGAAATGCAAATCAAAACCACAATGAGATGCCATCTCACACCAGTTAGAATGGCGATCATTAAAAAGTCAGGAAACAACAGGTGCTGGAGAGGATGTGGAGAAATAGGAACACTTTTACACTGTTGGTGGGACTGTAAACTAGTTCAACCATTGTGGAAGACAGTGTGGCGATTCCTCAGGGATCTAGAACTAGAAATACCACTTGACCCAGCCATCCCATTACTGGGTATATACCCAAAGGATTATAAATCATGCTGCTATAAAGACACATGCACAGGTATGTTTATTGTGGCACTATTCACAATAGCAAAGACTTGGAACCAACCCACATGTCGAACAATGATAGACTGGATTAAGAAAATGTGGCACATATACACCATGGAATAGTATGCAGCCATAAAAAATGATGAGTTCATGTCCTTTGTAGGGACATGGATGAAGCTGGAAACCATCATTCTGAGCAAACTATTGCAAGGACAGAAAACCAAACACTGCATGTTCTCACTCATAGGTGGGAATTGAACAATAAGAACACTTGGACACAGGGTGGGGAACATCACACACCGGGGCCTGTTGTGGGGTTGGGGGGAGCGGGGAGGGATAGCATTAGGAGATATACCTAATGTAAATGATGAGTTAATGGGTGGGGCACACCAACATGGCACATGTATACATATGTAACAAACCTGCATGTTGTGCACATGTACCCTAGAACTTAAAGTATAATTAAAAAAAAATACACCCAAGTCTTCAAGAGTTATCAGGAAGATTAAATATATGTAGAACATTAGCTGATAGAGAAGAAATTTATTAAATGCTACTCTTCAGCTGCCCTTTCCTATAAGGTCCTAGAAGACTCTATTACTATGATTTGGTGATAAAAGTTCTAAAACAATTTACTTCCCTTATTCCTGTGGTATATATTTTTTCAGCTACAACTTATTTTATTAATATGCATGACAATAACACATATTTTCTTCTTTTTCTTTTCCTTCTGAGTAATTAACTCAGTACCTGTCTTATTCTATGCACTTTAAAATGATGGTTTCAATCGTATGAAGTCACACGAGTCTTGCTGAAAAGATTGGCACATCGCCATTTGAACACAACTCTTCTATCTTTAAGATAGATCTCTGGCTGGGAGGTTTATGACTACTCATTTTGAGCTTCTCATTGTTTGCAGACAGGTGCTCTTCTTCATTTCACTGATGCAAGAAAAGTATATTAGTTCTCTGTGCTGTGACTTTCACCTGCTTCACCTCCTCTCCCAAGAGAAATGTCAGAAAGAAATCTTCACTTTTCATTGAATAAGCTGACAAGAACAGGGTAGTGAAATGCAACTTCTTAGATAAAAAAGAAAGATAATACAATAGATGTTTCTGGAAAAGTTTTATTTCATTTTATTTTTGAATTTTGGCTTTCCAAAATTCCTTAATAGGCAAACAAAATAACAAATTACATATGAATAACAGAAAATCAATCTGGAGCCAAATCAGTGTCACACATCAATGGTCTCTAAACAGTGAACAGCTTGTCAAATATGGAATGTCCACTCACCATCCTATACCTACTGAATCAGAAATTTTAAGCATTAGAGTCTAGTTTGAGAACCCAAAGTTGGCATTTTTTGTACTCTTCATAATTTGAACCATATAAAATTGTTAAAACTTGACAACATTTTATGTACAAAGTGTCAACTTTATAATAGTTCCACCTAATATTTAGCTCAGTCACATGAGTTTAGTTTTCAAATTTCTCTGGGTGACTTTCTGAAAAACATATATTCCCAGGTCTGGCCTAAAATCTACTAAATTAGAATTCTAGAGCAGGAGATTCTGCTGCTCTAGAACCCTCAAGAAACTATCATTTGAAAGTATAAGTCCTTTTTCAGGTATAAGGTTGTAGAGGTTTGGAAAAGGAACATCATGGTGATGCCTCTGTTTGTGAATAAAGAGAAGTAAATTATAATTTTTTTTACATTTAGAATTAGGAAACAACAACTGCTTACAAATCAAGTCCTTATATATATACCTGACAATCTGGAAAATTAAGCACTAAGGTGAAATTTAAAGATGTACTTAATATTTGTATAATGAACCAGAGTAACATGTACTTTATAAACATCCTGATCATATCTTGTGTGAATTTATGACCACAAATCTGAAGGAGAAAATTTTCCACATTAATTCTTAAGACTGTTCCTGCTTTGGAATTAGATGCATGATTATGTGTCTGTTGCACGGGGAGAAGACTGAGTAGAGTTTGGCTGGACAGGAATTCAGGTTATGTGGCTGACCCAATGGCCCCCTGAATGGCTCAATATTTATTTCTCTCACTCATGCTTGTTTTGACCCTTGGTTCTCTGCTCTCTGACTGCAATCGGTTACTCCACACCCAATGCATCTACACACACACACACACACACACACACACACACACACACACTCTCTCTCTCTCTCTCTCTCTCTCTCTCTGTCTCTCTCACAGACAGCCCAGTCTGACGTGATCCGTACCTAGCTCTCTGTCATTTGTATGTTTCCTTTGGATTATGTTTGTCCAAATGCCTTTGGAATATCTGTACTTGAATATCATAGGACTAGGAATTTGCTTAAGTCTGAAATTATTTGTGTAATGAGAAGGCAATATTGCAGTGTACATACCTGGAATATTTTCTACATATTTGCTAACCAATTGTTTATTTTTTTAAATTCAAGCCCCTAATTCTGATAATGTTATTGGTAGGGTGTTGGTGGACTTAACATGACTGGTGGATTTAGAGTAAGCCTGAAAATGAATGAATACAGTTCTATCCAGAAATATTTTAGTTTCCTCTGGAATAAATCAATTTGGTTTAGAGTAAAAGTTCCATTCCACTCATGATTCAGCTCAGTCAGTGTCTAGGTCAAAGCCCTATTATCCAAACTCAGGCAGAGTTTTGTGAAGGGCCTTCAGTGGCCTAGAGGTGTGGGTGGGGGAAAGTTACCTTTCATCCTCTGCTATCCACATCTTTTCAGCTGCCCCTACTCTTAGCAACCATCTAGGGACAGGAGATATACAAGACAATCAATATGATGTCAGAACTTCAATGTGGAACATTTGTAGGACTTCAAGTTTTTGCTGCCAAAAAAAGCAAAAGCAAAAAAGCAAACAAAAAAAAAACACCTTTAATTATTATTAGCCCTCTCTGCTGCTGGGGACCAGATGCTGGCTCTGTTGGGAGGGATATCTGTTGTTCTCAGGGCACTGCATGGGTGAGGTAAAATGAGGGAAACAACCTCCTGCACAGACACATCTCTGCCCTACACTAACCCATAGTGTATTATCTGGCCCTCCACCCACAGACTCCTCCGCCTAAGCCTCAAACTCTGATGTGCAGCTTTGTAGGGATGCCTTCAAGATGGTTTAACCCGAACCACATAAACTGACATGTTCTTCATCCACCAGAAACACCAGTGTCTTTGCCAGCCTCAGTGGTGGGAATTAAGGCTACCTCAGACACTACTTCTCTTAATTCTTAATTCAGCTACCATCTCTCTTATTGTCCCCACTCCTTGGCAGCATAAAGAGGATCCGTCAGCCCTGTGACTTCAGTTTTCTTATTGGAGTTAAATCTGAGTTTCTTCTTATTCAGCACAGGTGAGAGAGCCCCAGTTGCAACATTTTTTGATTCCACATATCAGTAAGATCATGTAGTATTTGTTTTTCCATGCATTTCTTGTTTTGCTTAGCATATGATTCTCCAGTTTCATCCAAGTCATTGCAAATGGAAGGACCCCCTTTTTTTAAAGGCTAAATAATATTCCTCTGTGTGTGTGTGTGTACATAACTTTTTATTCACTCATCCATACATGGACAGATGTTTGTGTAGTTTGCATATCTTGGCTATTATGAATAATAGTGTGATGAACATGGAAGAACAGATATCTTTCCGAGGTAGTGATTTCATTGACTTTATGTATACACCCAGAAGTGGGATTGCTTGATCATATGTAGTTCTATTTTCAGTTTTTGAGGAAACTTGATACTGTTTTCTATAATGGCAGTACCAATTTACTTTCCTACCAACAGCATGCAAAGGGTCCCTTTTCTCCACACCTTTACCAACACTTAAAATCATTTGCTTTTTGTTAGTAGGCATCCTAACAGGTGTCAGCTGACCTCCCGTGTTTTCGTTTGCCTTTCCCATGATAATCTTTGACAAACCTTATAAAAACAAGCAATGGGGAAAGGATTCCCTATTCAATAAATGCTGCTGGGATAACTGGCTAGCCATATGCAGAAGATTAAAACTGGACCCCTTCCTTATGCCATATAAAAAAATTAACACAAGATGGACTAAAGACTTAAATGTAAAATCTGAAACTATAAAAACCCTAGAAGACAACTTAAGCAAAGCATTCTGGACCTAGGAATGGGCAAAAATTTCATGATGAAGAACCCAAAAGCAACTGAAACAAAAGCAAACTTGACAAATGGGATCTAATTAAACTAAAGGGCTTCTGCACAGTAAAGGAAACTATCAACAGAGTGAACAGACAACCTACAGAGTAGAAGAATTTTGGCAAACTATGCATCTGACAAAGGTCTAATATCCAGAATCTATGAGGAACTTAAATTTACAAGAAAA
Source organism: Homo sapiens (assembly GCF_000001405.40). NCBI lineage: Eukaryota > Metazoa > Chordata > Mammalia > Primates > Hominidae > Homo > Homo sapiens. Next base: position 33,842,875 of record NC_000012.12, read on the forward strand.
AAACAACCCTATTAAAAAGTGGGCAAAGGATATGAATAGACACTTCTCAAAAGAACGCTTACATTCAAACAAAAATCATATGAAAAAAAGTTCAACATCACTGATCATTAGAGAAATACAAATAAAAACCACAATGAGATAACATCTCACTCCAGTCAGAATAGCTATTATTAAAGAGCCAAAAAATAACAGATGCTCGTGAGGTTGTGGAGAGAAAGGAACTCTTATATGCCATTGATGGGAACGTAAATGAGTTTAGCCATTGTGGAAGACAGTGTGGTGATTCCTCAAAGACCTAGAAACAGAAATACCATTCAGCCCAGCAATCCTATTACTGGGTATATGCCCCAAAGCATATAAATCATTCTATCATAAAGACACACACAGACACACACACACACACATTGATTGCACACTATTCACAATAGCAAAGACACGGAATTTGCTAGACTGGATAAAGAAAATGTGGTACATATATACTGTATTAGTCTGTTTTCATGCTGCTGGTAAAGACATATCCAAGACTGGGCAATTTACAAAGGAAAGAGGTTTAATGGACTTACAGTTCCACATGGTTGGGGAGGCCTCAAAATCATGGTGGATGGGAAGAAGGAACAAGTCACATCTTACATGGATAGCAGCAGGCAAAAAGAGAGAGCTTGTGCAGAGGAACTCCTCTTTATGAAACCATCAGACCTCATGAGACTTATTCACCTTCATGAGAACAGCATGGAAAAGACGCACCCTCATGATTCGATTAGCTCCCACAGGGTCCTTCTCACAACACATGAGAATCATGGGAGCTAAAATTCAAGATGAGATTTGGATGAGTCCACAGCCAAACCCTATCTACACCATGGAAAATATGTAGCCTTAAAAAGGAATGAGATCATATCCTTTGCAGGAACCTGGATGCAGCTGGAGGACATTATTGTTAGCAAACTAACATGGGAACAGAAAACTAAATACCATATGTTCTCACTTATAAGTGACAACTAAATGATGAGAACACATGGACACAGAGAGGGGAACAGCACACACTGGGGCCTCCATGATGTTAGTGGTGGGAGGATGGAGAGGATCAGGAAAAATAACTAATAGATACTAGACTTAATAACTGGGCAAAGAAATAATCTGTACAACAAACCCTCATGACACAAATTTACCTATATAAGAAACCTGCCATGTATCCCTGAATTTAAAAAGTTAAATTTAAAAGAGTAAATAAAAAGTTAAGGAAATAAAATGCAGAACAAAAAAAAAACTGATTTATGCATGTTCATTTTTGTATACAGCAAGTTTACTGAATTTGTTTATTAGCTCTGTGTTTTCTGGTGATGTCTTTAGGGTTTTCTACGTGTAGAATCACATCATCTGCAAACAGTAATCATTTTACTTTTTCATATTTTATTTACATGTCTTTTTTCTTGTCTGATCTCTGTGGCCATTTCTATTTTAAAAACTATTTTAAAAACAAGTGGCAAGAGTAGATTTTTTTTATGCACTGGATCTTAGGGAAAGAGTTTTTTTTCCCATTGATTATGATGTGAACAATGGGCTTTTCATAAACGTCCTTAATTATGTTGAGGATAGTTTCTTCTATACCAGTTTTTGAGGATTTTTTAAATCATGAATGTAGATTGAACTTTGTCAAATGCTTTATTTTACATCTGTTGAAATGACCATGTAGTTTTCTTTTAATCTTTTATTCTGTTAACATGGTGTATCACAGTGATTGACTTGCATATTTTATTTATTTATTTATTTTTAAATTTTTTGTGGGTACATAGTAGGTGTATATACTTATGGGGTACATGAGATGTTTTGGTACAGGTATAAATGCAAAACAAGCACATCATGGAGAATGGGATATCCATGCCCTCAAGCATTTATCCTTTGAGTTACAAGCAACACAGTTACACTCTAAGTTTTTTTAAATATACAATTATTATTGACTATAGTCACCCTTGTGCTATCAAATACTAGATCCTTTTCCTTATTTGTAATTATTTTTTGTACGTGTTAATCATTGCCTCCACCCCCTACAGGCCCCCACTATCCTTCCCATCATCTAGTAACTATCCTTCTACTCTCTATGTCTGTGAGTTTAATGTTTTGATTTTTAGATCCCACAAATAATTGAGAATGTGTAATGTTTGTCTTTCTGTGCCTGGTTTATTTCATGTAACATAACAACCTCTGGTTCCATCCATGTTATTGCAAATTGATGGATCTCATTTTTTATGGCTAAAGAGTACTCCATTGTGTATATGTACCACATTTTATTTAACCATTTATCTGTTGATGGACACTTAGGTTGTTTCCAAGTCTTATCTGTTGTAAACAGTGCTGCAACAAACATAGGAGTGCAAATATCTCTTTGATAAACTGATTTCCTTTCTTTTAGGTATATACCCAGCAGTGGGATTGCTGGATCATATGGTAGCTCTAGTTTTAGTTTTTGAGGAGCCTCCATACTGTTCTCCATAGTGGTTGTACTAATTTACTGATTTGCATATTTTAAACCAAAGTCAGATCTCAGGGATAAATCCCACTTAGTCATGGCATACAATCTTTTTGATGTGTCATTGAATTTGGTTTGCTAATGTTTTATTGAGATATTTGCATCAATGTTTATAGGAGTTAGTGGTTTGTAGTAATCTTTTCTTGCAGTGTCTTTTCTGGCATTCATGTCAGGGTAATTTTGGCTCTATTAAATGAGTTTGGAAGTGTAACCTCTTCCTCTATTTTTTGAAAGAGTTTAAGGATTGGTATTAGTTCTTCCTTAATTATTTGAAAGAACTTAGCCATTAAGTCATATAATACTGGGTATATTAGTCTGCTTGTGTGCTGCTGATAGAGACATACCCAAGACTGGGAAACTTACAAAAGAAAGAAGTTTAATGGACTTACAGTTCCACATTGGCTAGAGAAGCCTCACAATCTTGGTGGAGGGCAAGAAGGGGCAAGTCAGGTCTTACATAGATAGCAGTAGGCAAAGAGAAAGAACTTGTGCAGGGAAACTCCCACTTTTAAAACCATTAGATCTCATGAGACTTATTCACTATCAAAAAAACAGCATGGGAAAGACCCACCCACATGATTCAGAGATCTCTCACCAGGTCCCTCCCACAACACATGGGAATTATGGAAGCCACAAGATAAGATTTGGGTGGGGACACAGAGCCAAACCATGTCATTCTTCCCCTGGCCCCTCCCAAATCTCATGTCTTCACATCTCAAAACCAATTGTGCCATACCAACAGTCCCTCAAAATCTTAACTCATTTCAGCATTAACTAAAAAATCTACATTCCAAAGTCTTGTCTAAGGCGAGGCAAGTCCCTTCTGCTTATAAGCCTGTAAAATCAATTCAAGTTAGTTACTTCCTAGATACAATGGAGGTACAGGCATTGCATAAATACAGCTGTTCCAAATGGGAGAAATTGGCCAAAACAAAGGGGTTACAGGACCCAGGCAAGTCTGAAATCCAGTGGGGCAATCAAATCTTAAAGCTCCAAAATGATCTCCTTTGACTCCATGTCTCACATATAGGTCATGCTGATGCAAGAAGTGGGTTCCCATGGTCTTGGGCAGCTCTGCCCTTGTGGCTTTGCAGGGTATAGCCTCCCTCCTGGCTGCTTTCATGGGCTGGCATTGATTGTCTGTGGCTTTTACAGGTGCATGGTGCAAGCTGTCAGTAGATCTAGCATTCTGGGGTCTGGAGAACAGTGGCCCTCTTTTCACAGCTCCACAAAGCAGTGTCCCAGTAGGGACTATGTATGGGGGCTCTGACCCCACATCTCTTGCACTGCCCTAGCAGAAGTTCTCCATGAGGGCACCACCCCTGCAGCAGACTTCTGCCTGGGCATCCAGGCATTTCCATACATCTTCTAAAATCTAGGCAGAGGTCCACAAACCCCAATTCTTGACTTCTGTGCCCTTGCAGGCTCAATACCACATGGAAGATGCCAAGGCTTGGGGCTTACACCCTCTGAAGCCATGACTTCAGTTCTGTGTTGGCCTCTTTCAGCCATGGCTGGAGTGGCTGAGATGCAGGGCACAAAGTCCCTAGGCTGCACACAGGGACCCTGGGCCTGACCGACAAAACCATGTTTTCCTCCTAGGCCTCCAGGCCTGTGATGGGAGGGGCTGCCATGAATACCTCTGACATGCCCTGGAGATATTTTCCCCGTTGTCTTGGGGATTAACATTTGGCTCCTCATTACGTATGCAAATACAGGCAGCAGACCTGAATTTCTTCTCAGAAAATGGGTTTTTCGTTTCTATCACTAGCCAGGCTGCAAATTTTCCAAACTTTTATGCTCTGTTTCACTTTTAAAACTGAATGCCTTTAACAGCACTGAAATCATCTTTTGAATACTTTGCTGCTTAGAAATTTCTTCTGCCAGATACCTTAAAACATCTCTCTCAAGTTCAAAGTTCCACAAATCTCTAGGACAGGGACAAAATGCCAACAGTCTTTGTGCTAAAACATGACAAGAGTCAGCTGTGCTCCAGATCCCAACAAGTTTCTCATCTCCATCTGTGATCATGTCAGCCTGGATTTCATTTTCCATATCATCATCATGATTTTGGTCAAAGTCATTAAACAAGTCTCTAGGGAGTTCCAAACTTTCCACAGTTTCCTGCCTCCTTCTGAGCCCTGCAAACTGTTGCAACCTCTGTCTATTACCCAGTTTCAAAGTTGCTTCCACATTTTCAGGTATCTTTTTAGCAGTGTTGCAATCTACTAGTACCAATTTACTGTATTAGTCTGTTTTCATGCTGCTAATAAAGATATACCCAAGATTTGGCAATTTACAAAAGAAAGAGGTTTAACGGACTTACTGTTCCACAGGGCTGGGGAAGCCTCACAATCTTGGCAGAAGGCAAGAAGGAGCAAGTCATGTCTTACATGGATGGCAATAGGCAAAGAGAGATAACTTGTGCAGGGAAATGCCCATTTTTAAAACCATCGAATCCCGTAAAATTTATTCACTGTCATGAAAAAAGCATGGGAAAACCCACTCCCATGATTCAGTTATCTCCCACCACATCACTTCCAGAACACATGGGAATTATGGGAGCTACAAGATAAGATTTGGGTGAGGACACAGAGCTAAATCATACCACTGGGCTTTCTTTGTTGAGAGGTTTCTGGTTACTATTTCAATTTCATCTTTTCTTGTTGGTCAGGCTTTCTATTTCTTCTTGATTTTGTTTAAGCAGGTTGTATGTTTTTAAGAATTTATTCCCGAGGAGCCAAGATGGCCGAATAGGAACAGCTCCGGTCTACAGCTCCCAGCATGAGCGACGCAGAAGACCAGTGATTTCTGCATTTCCATCTGAGGTACCGGGTTCATCTCACTAGGGAGTGCCAGACAGTGGGTGCATGTAAGTGGGTGCATGCACCGTGTGCGAGCCGAAGCAGGGCGAGGCATTGCCTCACTTGGGAAGCACAAGGAGTCAGGGAGTTCCCTTTCATAGTCAAAGAAAGGGGTGACAGACGGCACCTGGAAAATCGGGTCACTCCCACCCAAATACAGCGCTTTTCCAACAGGCTTAAAATACGGCGCACCAGGAGATTATATCCCGCACCTGGCTCAGAGGGTCCAACGTTCATGGAGTCTTGCTGATTGCTAGCACAGCAGTCTGAGATCAAACTGCAAGGCGGCAGCGAGGCTCGGGGAGGGGCACCCGCCATTGCTCAGGCTTGCTTAGGTAAACAAAGCAGCCGGGAAGCTCAAACTGAGTGAAACCCACCACAGCTCAAGGAGGCCTGCCTGCCTCTGTAGGCTCCACCTCTGGGGGCAGGGCACAGACAAACAAAAAGACAGCAGTAACCTCTGCAGACTTAATTGTCCCCGTCTGACAGCTTTGAAGAGAGCAGTGGTTCTCCCAGCACACAGCTGGAGATCTGAGAACGGGCAGACTACCTCCTCGAGTGGGTCCCTGACCCCTGACACCCAAGCAGCCTAACTGGGAGGCACCCCCCATCAGGGGCAGACTGACACCTCACATGGCCGGGTACTCCAACAGACCTGCAGCTGAGGGTCCTGTCTGTTAGAAGGAAAACTAACAAACAGAAAGGACATCCATACCAAAAACCCATCTGTACATCACCATCATCAAAGACCAAAAGTAGATAAAACCACAAAGATGGGGAAAAAACAGAGCAGAAAAACTGGAAACTCTAAAAAGCACAGCGCCTCTCCTCCTCCAAAGGAATGCAGTTCCTCACCAGCAATGGAACAAAGCTGGATGGAGAATGACTTTGACGAGCTGAGAGAAGAAGTCTTCAGATGATCAAATTACTCCGAGCTATGGGAGGACATTCAAACCAAAGGCAAAGAAGTTGAAAACCTTGAAAAAAATTTAGAAGAGTGTATAACTAGAATAGCAATACAGAGAAGTGCTTAAAGGAGCTGATGGAGCTGAAAACCAAGGCTCGAGAACTACGTGAAGAATGCAGAAGCCTCAGGAGCCAATGCGACCAACTGGAACAAAGGGTATCAGCAATGGAAGATGAAATGAATGAAATCAAGTGAGAAGGGAAGTTTAGAGAAAAAAGAATAAAAAGAAATGAGCAAAGCCTCCAAGAAATATAGGACTATGTGAAAAGACCAAATCTACGTCTGATTGGTGTACCTGAAAGTGATGGGGAGAATGGAACCAAGTTGGAAAACACTCTGAAGGATATTATCGAGGAGAACTTCCCCAATCTAGCAAGGCAGGCCAACGTTCAGATTCAGGAAATACAGAGAACGCCACAAAGATACTCCTCGAGAAGAGCAACTCCAAGACACATAATTGTCAGATTCACCAAAGTTGAAATGAAGGAAAAAATGTTAAGGGCAGCCAGAGAGAAGGGTCGGGTTACCCTCAAAGGGAAGCCCATCAGACTAACAGCGGATCTCTCGGCAGAAACTCTACAAGCCAGAAGAGGGTTGGGGCCAATATTCAACATTCTTAAAGAAAAGAATTTCCAACCCAGAATTTCATATCCAGCCAAACTAAGCTTCATAAGTGAAGGAGAAATAAAATACTTTACAGACAAGCAAATGCTGAGAGATTTTGTCACCACCAGGCCTGCCCTAAAAGAGCTCCTGAAGGAAACACTAAACATGGAAAGGAACAACCGGTACCAGCCACTGCAAAATCATGCCAAAATGTAAAGACCATCGAGACTAGGAAGAAACTGCATCAACTAATGAGCAAAATAACCAGCTAACATCATAATGACAGGATCAAATTCACACATAACAATATTAACTTTAAATGTAAATGGGCTAAATGCTCCAATTAAAAGACACAGACTGGCAAATTGGATAAAGAGTCAAGACCCATCAGTGTGCTGTATTCAGGAAACCCATCTCATGTGCAGAGACACACATAGGCTCAAAATAAAGGGATGGAGGAAGATCTATCAAGCAAATGGAAAACAAAAAAAGGCAGGGGATGCAATCCTAGTCTCTGATAAAACCGACTTTAAACCAACAAAGATCAAAAGAGACAAAGAAGGCCATTACATAATGGTAAAGGGATCAATTCAACAAGAAGAGCTAACTATCCTAAATATATATGCACCCAATACAGGAGCACCCAGATTCATAAAGCAAGTCCTGAGTGACCTACAAAGAGACTTAGACTCCCACACATTAATAATGGGAGACTTTAACACCCCACTGTCAACATTAGACAGATCAATGAGACAGAAAGTGAACAAGGATAACCAGGAATTGAACTAAGCTCTGCACCAAGCTGACCTAATAGACATCTACAGAACTCTCCACCCCAAATCAACAGAATATACATTTTTTTCAGCACCACACCACACCTATTCCAAAATTGACCACATACTTGGAAGTAAAGCTCTCCTCAGCAAACGTAAAAGAACAGAAATTATAACAAACTATCTCTCAGACCACAGTGCAATCAAACTAGAACTCAGGATTAAGAATCTCACTCAAAACTGCTCAACTACATGGAAACTGAACAACCTGCTCCTGAATGACTACTGGGTACATAACGAAATGGAGGCAGAAATAAAGATGTTCTTTGAAACCAATGAGAACAAAGACACAACATACCAGAATCTCTGGGATGCATTCAAAGCAGTGTGTAGAGGGAAATTTATAGCACTAAGTGCCCACAAGAGAAAGCAGGAAAGATCCAAAATTGACACCCCAACATCACAATTAAAAGAACTAGAAAAGCAAGAGTAAACACATTGAAAAGCTAGCAGAAGGCAAGAAATAACTAAAATCAGAGCAGAACTGAAGGAAATAGAGACACAAAAAACCCTTCAAAAATTAATGAATCCAGGAGCTGGTTTTTTGAAAGGATCAACAAAATTGATAAACCGCTAGCAAGACTAATAAGAAAAGAGAGAAGAATCAAATAGACACAATAGAAAATGATAAAGGGGATATCACCACCGATCCCACAGAAATACAAACTACCATCAGAGAATACTACAAACACCTCTACGCAAATAAACTAGAAAATCTAGAAGAAATGGATAAATTCCTCGACACATACACTCTCCCAAGGCTAAACCAGGAAGAAGTTGAATCTCTGAATAGACCAATAACAGGAGCTGAAATTGTGGCAATAATCAATAGCTTACCAACCAAAAAGAGTCCAGGACCAGATGGATTCACAGCTGAATTCTATCAGAGGTTCAAAGAGGAACTGGTACCATTCCTTCTGAAACCATTCCAATCAATAGAAAAAGAGGGAATCCTCCCTAACTCATTTTATGAGGCCAGCATCATCCTGATACCAAAGCTGGGTAGAGCCACAACCAAAAAAGAGAATTTTAGACCAATATCCTTGATGAACATCAATGCAAAAATCCTCAATAAAATACTGGCAAGCTGAATCCAGCAGCACATCAAAAAGCTTATCCACCATGATCAAGTGGGCTTCATCGCTGGGATGCAAGGCTGGTTCAGTATACGCAAATCAATAAACGTAATCCAGCATATAAACAGAACCAAAAACAAAAACCACATGATTATCTCAATAGATGGAGAAAAAGCCTTTGACAAAATTCAACAACCCTTTATGCTAAAAACTCTCAATAAATTAGGTATTGATGGGACTTATTTCAAAATAATAAGAGCTATCTATGACAAACCCACAGCCAATATCATACTGAATGGGCAAAAACTGGAAGCATTCCCTTTGAAGACTGGCACAAGATAGGGATGCCCTCTCTCACCACTCCTATTCAACATAGTGTTGGAAGTTCTGGCCAGGGCAATTACACAGGAGAAGGAAATAAAGGGTATTCAATTAGGAAAAGAGGAAGTCAAATTGTTCCTGTGTTCAGACGACATGATTGTACATCTAGAAAACCCCATGTTCTCAGCCCAAAATCTCCTTAAGCTGATAAGCAACTTCAGCAAAGTCTCAGGATACAAAATCAATGTACAAAAATCACAAGCATTCTTACACACCAATAACAGACAAACAGAGAGCCAAATCATGAGTGAACTCCCATTCACAATTGCTTCAAAGGGAACAAAATACCTAGGAATCAAACTTACAAGGGATGTGATGGACCTCTTCAAGGAGAACTACAAACCGCTGCTCAAGGAAATAAAAGAGGATACAAACAAATGGAAGAACATTCCATGCTCATGGGTAGGAAGAATCAGTATTGTGAAAATGGCCATACTGCCCAAGGTAATTTACAGATTCAATGCCATCCCCATCAAGCTACCAATGCCTTTCTTCACAGAATTGGAAAAAACTACTTTAAAGTTCATATGGAACCAAAAAAGAGCCCGCATTGCCAAGTCAATCCTAGGCCAAAAGAACAAAGCTGGAGGCATCACACTACCTGAGTTCAAACTATACTACAAGGCTACAGTAACCAAAACAGCATGGTACTGGTACCAAAACAGAGACACAGATCAATGGAACAGAACAGAGCCCTCAGAAATAATGCTGCATATCTACAACTATCTGATCTTTGACAAACCTGAGAAAAACAAGCATTGGGGAAAGGATTCCCTATTTAATAAACGGTGCTGGGAAAACTGGCTAGCCATATGTAGAAAGCTGAAACTGGATCCCTTCCTTACACCTTATACAAAAGTCAATTCAAGATGGATTAAAGACTTAAACATTAGACCTAAAACCATAAAAACCCTAGAAGAATACCTAGGCATTACCATTCAAGACATAGCATGGGCAAGGACTTCATGTCTAAAACACCAAAAGCAATGGCAATAAAAGCCAAAATTGACAAATGGGATCTAATTAAACTAAAGAGCTTCTGCACAGCAAAAGAAACTACCAACAGAGTGAACAGGCAACCTACAAAATGGGAGAAAATTTTCGCAACCTACTCATCTGACAAAGGGCTAATATCCAGAATCTACAATGAACTCAAACAAATTTACAAGAAAGAAATCAAACAACCCCATCAAAAAGTGAGAGAAGGACATGAACAGACACTTCTCAAAAGAAGACATTTATGCAGCTAAAAAACACATGAAAAAATGCTCACCATCACTGGCCATCAGAGAAATGCAAATCAAAACCACAATGAGATACCATCTCACACCAGTTAGAATGGCAATCATTAAAAAGTCAGGAAACAACAGGTGCTGGAGAGGATGTGGAGAAATAGGAACACTTTTACACTGTTGGTGGGACTGTAAACTAGTTCAACCGTTGTGGAAGTCAGTGTGGTGATTCCTCAGGGATCTAGAACTAGAAATGCCATTTGACCCAGCCATCCCATTACTGGGTATATACCCAAGGGACTATAAATCATGCTGCTATAAAGAGACATGCACACGTATGTTTATTGCGGCATTATTCACAATAGCAAAGACTTGGAACCAACCCAAATGTCCAACAATGATAGACTGGATTAAGAAAATGTGGCACATATACACCATGGAATACTGTGCAGCCATAAAAAATGATGAGTTCATGTCCTTTGTAGGGACATGGATGAAACTGGAAATCATCATTCTCTGTAAACTATTGCAAGAACAAAAAACCAAACACCGCATATTCTCACTCATAGGTGGGAATTGAACAATGAGAACACATGGACACAGGAAGGGGAACATCACACTCTGGGGACTGTTGTGGGGTGGGGGAAGGGGGGAGGTATAGCATTGGGAGATATACCTAATGCTAGATGACGAGTTAGTGGGTGCAGCACACCAGCATGGCACATGTATACATATGTAACTAACTTGCACATTGTGCACATGTATCCTAAAACTTAAAGTATAATAATAATAAATCAAAAAAAGAAAAAAACATTTTATTCCCTTAAGTTATCCAATTTGTTGGCATATAATTATTCATAACAATCTCTTATAATGCTTTTTATTTCTGAGTCATTTGATGCTATGCCTATTCTTCAGTTCTGATTTGCGTCTTTTTTTCTTAGTCTAGCTAAGAATTTGTCTATTTTCTTTAAATAAAACCAACTCTTAGTTTTGTTGATTTTTACTTGAGTTTTTCTATTTGTTATTTGATTTATATCTGCTCTGATCTTTATATATTGCTTTGTTTTGCTAACTTTGAATTTAGTTTTTTTAACTAATTATGTGTGGTATAGAATAGGGTTGTTTGAGATATTTCTATTTTTCATGAAGGTGTTTATCTCTTCAAACTTCCTTGTTAATACTACTTTTGCAAATCCTTTACATTTTGAAAAGTTTTGTTTTCATACTTATTTGTCTCTAGCTATATTTTAAATTACATTTAGATGTCCTCTATGACCCTGTGGTTGTTCAAGAGTGTGTTTGTTAGTTTCCATGTATTTGTGAATTCTTATATTTTCCTGCTGTTACTGATTTCTAGTTTCATTCCACTGTGGTCAGGAAGATACTGGGCATGATTTTGATCTTCCTAAAGTTGTTAAGATTTCTTTGTAATCTAACATGTAATCTCTCCTGTGTGCACCTGAGAAGAATGAGTATTCTTGTGCTGTTTGGTGAAAAGTTCTTTATCTGTTTGTTAGGTCCATTTGGTCTATAGCATGGTTCAAATTTTCTGTTTGTTTATTAATTTTTCCTGAGTGATCTATCAATTATTAACATTGAAATATTGAAATCTTTATTATTTTATTGATTTTTCTTTTGGATCTGTAAATATTTGTTTTACTTATTTAGGTACTCTGATGTTGGGTGCATATATATTTACAATTATTTTACAATTATTATACATATCTCCCTATTGAATTGATCCATTTATCATTACATTACAACCTTCCTTTTCTCTAGTAACAGTTTTTTTATTTGAAGTCTATTATGCCGGATGTAACTATACCACTCTTGTTTCTTTGATTGCCATTTGCACGGAGGTTTTTTTTTATCCTTTCATATTCAGCTAATGAGTATTCTTGAATCTATAGTGAGTTTCTTGTAGACAGCACACAGTTGAATCTTTTTTCATCTATCAACTCACTCTTCATTTAATTATAATTTTAGTATATTAATATTTTAAATTATTAGTAAGTATGTACTATTGCCATTTTGTTAACTGTTTTCTATTTGTCTTACAGTTTTTTTCTCTTTCTGTCTTACTGTCTTCTTTTGTGTTTGAGTTTTTGTAGAGATTGGTTTTGATTCCTTTCTTTTTCTTATTTTATAACTCTTTTAGGTATTTTATTCCTGATTACCAAGGGGCTTACATAAAGTATCTTATAGTTATAATGGTCTATTTTAAGCTGATAACTTAATTTCCCTGTATGCAAAAACCCCACTTTTATGTCCTGTCTTCCCACTTAATGTGACATTTATTTCACAATTTACATGTATTTGTGTTATGTATTCATTAACATAATTTAGTTATAGTGATTTTTAATACTTTTCTCTTTTAATTTTTATAATAGAATAAAATCAATTTACTCATCACTATTATAATAATACAAGATCCTGCTTTTTGTCTACATACTTACTTTTACTAGCAAGTTTTATACTATTTTATGCTTTTGTGTTGCTCCTTAGCGTCCTTTCATTTCAACATGAACTTTCTTTAGCGTTTCTTAAAAGTTAAGTCTAGTCTTGATAAACAGCCTCAGCTTTTGTAGGTCTAAAAACGTGTTTATCTCACTTTCATTTTTTAGTTTGTTAATTGTATTTTCAAAAAAAATTTGGGGTACATGGTAGGTGTATATATTTATGGGGTAAATGAGATATTTTGGTGCAGACATGCAATGCATAATAATTACATCATAGAAAATTGGGTATCGTATCTATTCCCTCAAGCATTTATTTTTTGTGTTACAGACAATTCAATTATATTGTTTAGCTATTTTTAAAATGCATAATTAAATTATTATTGACTATGGTAACCCTGTTTTGCTGTCAAATAGATCTTATTTATTCTTTTTTTTTTGGATCCATTATCCAGTTTCTCCAGCATCACTTATGGAAAATATTGTCTTTTCCCCAATGTGTGTTCTTGGCATCTTTGTTGAAAATAAGTTCAATATAGGTGTGTGGATTTATTTCTGGGTTCTCTATTCTGTTCTATTGGTTCTATGTGTCAGTTTTTATGCGAGTACTATGCTGTTTCGGTTATATAGATCTCTTGTATAATTTGAAGACAGGAAATGTGATTCCTCTAGTTTTTTTTCTTTTAGCTCAGGATGGCTTTGACTATTATGTGTCTTTTGTAAATTCCATATGCATATTAGGATTGTTTTTTCTATTTCTGTGAAGATGTCACTGGTATTTTTATAGGAATTGCATTAAATCTGTAGATTACTTTGGGTAGTATGACCATTTTAACAATATTTATTCTTCCAATCCATGATCACAGAATATCTTTCCATTTTTTATTGTTCTCTTCAATTTTATTCTTCCATGTTTTAGAGTTTTCATCGTAGCTATTTCCATTTCTTTGGTTAATTCTGAGTTATTTAATTGTATGTGGATCTATTGTAAATGGAATTTTTAAAATTCTTTTTCAGCTTGCTGATGTTATGTAGAAATTCCACTGATTTTTGTATGTAGACTTTGTATTCTCCAACTCTACTGAATTTATTTATCAGTTCTAATTGTTTTCCTGTGGAGTCTTTAGGTTTATTCAAATACAAGGTCATATCATCTGCAAACAAGGATAATTTGACTTCTTCCTTTCGAATTGCACTGCCTTTTATTTCTTACTCTTCTCTGATTACTATAGCTAAGGTTTCCAGTAGTATGTTGAATGACAGTGTTGCAAGTGGGCATCCTTGTCATGTTCCAGATCTATGAGCACAGGCTTTCTGTTTTCCCTATTCAGTATGATACTGCCTGTGGGTCTGTCATATATGGCTTTTATTATGTTGAGGTATTGTTCTTTCTATAACCAATTTTTGAGAGTTTTTACTATAAAGGATAATTAACTTTATCAAATTTTTTGCAGCATAAATTCAAATGATCACGATTTTTGTCCTTCATTATGTTGATATGATGTATCACATCGATTGATTTGTGTATGTTAAACCATCCTTGTTTTCCTAGAATAAATCCAACTTGGTCAAGATGAATTATCTTTTTAATGTATTGCTGAAATTGGTTTGCTTGTATTCTGTTGAGGATTTTTGCATCAATATTCATCAGAGATACTGGCCAGGAGTTTCCACTTTTTTTTTTTTTTTGATGTGTCTTTATCTGGTTTTTGTATCAGGCTTCATAGAATGAGTTTGGAGGAATTCCCTCCTCCTCTATTTTTCAGAATAGTTTGATAATGATTAGTGTTAGTTCTATAAATATTTGGTAGAATTCAGCAATAAGGCCATTAGGTCCTGGGCTTTTGTCTACTGGGAGACTTCTTTTCACAGATTTGATCTTGCTACTTACTACTGGTCAGTTCAAATTTTGCATTTGTTTATGTTTCCATCTTTGTAGGTTGTATGCACCTAGAAATTTATCCATTTCTTCCAGATTTTCCAATTTGTTGGCAGATAGCTATTCATAGTAGCCACTAATAGTCTTTTGAATTTCTGCTGTATGAGTTGTAGTGTCTCCTCTTTCATCTCTGTTTTTATCTATGTGGATCTTATCTCTTTTAGTTAGTCTGGCTGAAGGTTTGTCACTTCCTGTTGTCTTTTCAAAAAACGAACATTTTGTTTCACTGTTCTTCCATAATGTTTTCTTCATTTCAAATTCATTTAGTTGTATTCTAATTTTTATTATTTGTTTTCCTCTACTAAGTTTGGGTTTGGTTTGCTCTTGGTTTTTTATTTCTCTAAGATGAATTATGACGTTACTTATTTGAACTTTCTCTTCTTTTTTCAAACAGGTACCTATAGCTACAAATTTCCCTCTTAGTACTGCTTTTGCTGTAACCTATAGTTTTGATATGTTGTGTTTTCATTAAAACTTATTTCAAGAAATTTGCCAATTCTCTTATTTTTTTATTGACCCACTGGTCATTCATTTTCATGTGTTTGTATATTTCCACAATTCCTCTTGTTATCATTTATCAATTTTATTCCACTGCGGTCAGAGAAGATGTTTGATATTATTTAAAACTTTTGAATGTTTTAAGACTTGTTTTGTGGCCTAACATATGGTCTATCCTTGAGAATAATCCCTGTGCTGAGAACAAAAAGTTGTATTCTGCAGCGATTAGATGAAATTTTCCGTAAATATCAATTAGGTCTGATTTGCTTTGAATCTGTTTCCCAAACCAAATCTCATGTCAAATTTTAATCCCCAGTGTTGGAGATGGAGGCTGCTGAGAGGCAATTGGGTCATAGGGGCAGTTTCTAATGGCTTAGCACCACCCCCCTAGTGGTGTCTCATGATAGAGTTCTCACAAGATCTGATTGTTTGAAAGTGTGTAGCACCTCCACAATCCCCTTCCCCCTACTCTGGCCATGTAAGATTTGACTGCTTCTTCTTTGCCTTCCAAATGGATAAATGTACCCATTCCAAATGGAAGAAATTGGCCAAAATGAAGGGGCTACAGGCTTTGTCCTAGTCCAAAATCCAATGGGGTGGTCAAATCTTAAAGTTCCAAAATTATCTCCATTGACTCACATCCAGGTCACACTAATGCAAGAGGTGGGTTCCCATGGTCTCGGGCAGCTCTGCCCCTGTGGCTTTGCGGGGTACAGCCTCCCTCCCAGATGCTTTCACAGGCTGGTGTTGAGTGTGGCTTTTTCAGGTCTATGGTGCAAGCTGTTGGTAGATTTACCATTCTGGGGTCAGGAGGATGGTGACCTTCTTCTCAGAACTCCACTAGGCAGTGCCCCAGTGGACTCTGTGTGGGGGCTCTGACCCCACATTTCCCTTCTACACTCCCCTAGCAGAGGTTCTACATGAGGGCCTGTCCCTGCAGCAAACTTCTACCTGGACATCCAGGCATTTCTATACATCCTCTGAAATCTAGGCAGAGGTTCCCAAACCTCAATTATTGACTTCTGTGCACCCACCAGCTCAACACCACATGAAAACCACCAAAGCTTAGGACTTGCCCCCTCTGAAGCCATAGCCTGAGCTGTACCTTGGCTCCTTTTAGCTATGGCTACAGCAGCTGGGTCATAGGACATCAAGTCCCTAGACAGCACACAGCAGGGGAGCCCTTGGCCCAGCCCATGAAACCATTCTTTCCTCCTAGGCTTCTGGACCTGTGATTATAGGGGATGCTGCAAATGTCTCTGACATGCCCTGGAGACATTTTCCTCATTGTCTTGGAGGTCACCATTTGGCTCCTCATTACTTATGCAAATTTCTGCCACTGGCTGCCTTGAATTTCTTCTCAGAAAATGAGTTTCTCTTTTCTATCACGTCATCAGGCTGAAAATTTTCCAAACTTTTATGCTCTGTTTCCCTTTTAAAACTGAATGCCTTTAACAGCACCCAAGTCACATCTTGAACGCCTTAGTCCTTAGGAATTTCTTCCACCAGATACCCTAAGTCATCTCCCTCTAGTTCAAAGTTTCACAAATCTCTAGAGCAGAGGCAAAATGCCTCCAGTCTCTTTGCTGAAACATAGCAAGAGTCACAT
Organism: Homo sapiens; assembly: GCF_000001405.40. Lineage (NCBI taxonomy): Eukaryota > Metazoa > Chordata > Mammalia > Primates > Hominidae > Homo > Homo sapiens. The sequence goes on from NC_000012.12 coordinate 33,859,863, forward strand.
TTACTTCAGTTCCCAACAAGTTTCTTATCTCCATCTGGGACCACCTCAGCCTGGATTTCATTGTTGATATTATTATCAGCATTTTGGTCAAAGCCATTCAACAAGTCTCTAGGGAGTTCCAAGCTTTCCCACATTTTCCTGTCTCCTTCTGAGCCCTCCAAAGTGTTCCAATCTCTGCCTGTTACCCATTTCCAAAGTCACTTCTACAATTTTGGGTATCTTTACAGCAGCACCTCACTACTAGTACCAATTTACTGTATTAGTCCGTTTTCATGCTACTGATAAAGACATACCCAAGACTGGATAATGTATAAAGAAAAAAGGTTTAATGGACTAACAGTTCCACGTGGCTGAGGAGGTGTAAGGTAAAAGTCAATCATGGCAGAAGGTGAAAGACATGCCTTACATCACTGCAGACAAGAGAGAATAAGAGCCAAGAGAAAAGGGAAACCTCTTATGAAACCATCAGATGTCATAAGACTTATTCACTACCGTGAGAATAGTATGGGGGAAACTGCCCCCATGATTCAATTCTCTCTCCCTAGGTCATTCCCACAACATATGGGAATTATGGGAGCTACAATCAAGATGAGATTTGGGTGGGGACACAGCCAAACCATATCACAGGCTGAAGGGACTACTGTTGTCTCAGATAAGATTTTGGACTTTGGAGTTTTGAGTTTATGTTGGAATAAATTAAGACTTCCAGGACTATTGAGTAGTGATGATTATACTTTACAATGTGAGAACATGAGATTTGATAGGGGCCAGGGATGTAATGATATAGTTTGGATCTTTTCCCTGTGTGTCATGTCGAATTGTAATCCCCAGTGTTGGAGGTGGGGCCTGGTGGGTGGTGATTGGATCATGGGGGCAGTTTCTAATGCTTTAGTACCATCCCCCTAGTGACATTTTGTGATAAAGTTCTCATGATATATTGTTATTTAAAAGTGTGTGGTACCTCCCCTGCCCTTCTTCCTGCTCTGACTCTGTAAGGTGTGCCTGCTTTTCCTTCATCTTCCACCATGACTGAAAGTTTCCTGAGGCCTCCCCAGAAGCCATCATGCATCTCGTACAGCCTGTGGTACCATGGGCTAATTAAACCTCCTATATTTATAAGTTACCCAGTCTTGGGTACTTCTTTATAGTGGTGTGAGAATGGACTAACACAAGGTCCATTTGGTCTACAGTGCAGATTAAGTCTGATGTTTGTTGATTTTGTGCCTGGAAGACCTGCCCAGTGCTGAAAGTAGGATGCTGAAGTTTCCAGCTGTTATTGCATCAGGGCCTATCTCTCTCTTTAGTGCTAGTAAGATTAGTTTTATATATCTGGGTGCTCCAGTGTTGGGTATATATATAATTACAATCATCATATCTTGTTGCTGAATCAATCCCTTTATCATCATATAGTGACCTTTGTTGTTATGGTTTTCATCTTGAAATCTATTTTATCCAATATAAGTGTAGCGACTCATTGATTTCTATTGGCATGAAGTATCTTTTTCCAGTCCTCTAGTTTCAGTCTATGTGTCTTTATAGGTGAATTGTGTTTTTTGTAAGCAACAGATATTTTGGTCTTGGGATTTTTTTTTTTCCTTTTTTCTTCCATTCACCTACTCTGTCTTTTGATTGGAGAGTTTAGTCAATTTACATTCAATGTTATTATTCATAAGTAGAGACTTATTGCAGCTGTTTTGTTATTTGTTTTCTGTCTGTTTTGTGGTCTTCTCCTCCTTCTTTTCTTCCTTCCTTTCTTCCTTTTAGTGAAGATAATTTTCCCTGGTGGTATGCTTTAATTTCTTGCTTTTTTGTATTTGTTTTGTATGTTTTATGATTTGAGATATCCATGAAGTTTGCAAGTACTTCATTATAACCCATTATTTTAAACTGATGACAACTTAGCTGATTGTATAAATGAATAAACAAACATGCAATAAAAAACTAACAAAAACTCTACACTTTAAGTTTTGACCTTTTTGTTGTTTCTTTTTATGTCTTATTATATTGCCTATGTCTTGAAAGTTGTTGCAGCTATTATTTATTATTGGTTCCTCATTTAGTCTTTCTACTTATTTAGTTTTTCTATGTAAGTCAAGAGAAGTTTACATACCACAGTTACAGTGCAGAATATTTTATGCTTTTCTGTGTGCTTATTATGACTGGTGAGTTTTCTACCTTCAGGTAATTTCTTCTTGCTCATTAACATCCTTGTATTTCAGATTAAAGAACTCCCTTTCACATTCCCTGTGAATAGGTCTGGTGTTGATGAAATCCCTCAGCTTTTGTTTGTCTGGGAAGGTCTTTAGTTCTTCTTTATGTTTAAATCATATTTTCACCAGATATGCTATTCTAAGGTAAAAGTTTTTCATTCAGCACTTTAAATATGTCATGCTGTTCTCTTCTGGCCTGGAAGGTTTCCACTGAAAAGTCTGCTGCCAGACCTATTGAAGCTCGATTGTATGTTATTTACTCCTTTTCTCTTGCTGCTTTCAAGATCCTTTCTTTACACTTGATATTTGTGTGTTTGATTATTAAATGCCTTGAGATAGTCTTATTTGGGTTAAATCTGCTTAATGTTCTATAAACTTCTTGTATTTTAATGGTAATATCATCCTCTGGGTTTGGGAAGTTATCGTTATTATCTCTTTGAATAAACTTTCTTCCCCTTTCTCTTTCTCTGCCTTCTCTTTAAGGCCAATAAGTCTTAGATTTGCCCTTTTGAGGCTATTTCCTATATTTTGTAAGTGTGCTTGTTTTGTTTGGTTTTGTTGGTCTCCTTTGACTGTGTATTTTCAAACAGCCTATCTTCAAGCTCACTAATTCTTTTTTCTGCTTTATCAGCTCCACTATTAAAAGACTCATGGATTCTTCAGCATGTCAATTATGTTTCTTAACTCTAGAATTTCTGCTTTATTCTTTTAAATTATTTCAATCTTTGTTAGATTAATCTCAGAATTCTGAATTCATTCTCAGTGTTATCTTGAATTTCTTTGAGTTTCCTCAGAACAGCTATTTTGAATTACCTCTCTGAAAGCTCATACATCACTGTTTCTTTGGAATTGGTTCCTGGTACATTATGTAGGTCATGTTTGATAAGGTCATGTTTTCCTGGATGGTATTGATACTTGTAGATGTTCATCAGTGTCTGGAAATTGAAGAGTTAGGTATTTATTGTAATTTTCACAGTCTGGGCTTCTTTGTGACTGTCCTCAAGAAGGCTTTGCAAGTATTTGAAGACACTTGGACTCCAAGTGCAATAATGCTATGGTTTTGCAGCCTCATAGAGGTACCGACGTGGTGGTCTTTGATAAGATTCTGAATAATTCTTTGGAATACCAGGCAGAGACTCTTGTTTTTTTCCCTTACTTCCCCCAAACTAATGGAGTCTCCTTCTCTATGATTAGCTACCTGGAAATTTGGGTGTGGTGATGCAAGCACTCCTGTGGGCAGCACCACTGGGACTGTGCTGGGTCAGACCTGAAACCAGCACAGCATTGAGTCTTGTTGCCCCAGGCCCTTCCCTTCTGGTCAGTAAGTTTTTCCAGGCCCTGGGTGTGTCCAGAGATGCTCTCTGGGAGCCAGAAATTGGAGGCAAAAACGTTAACAGTTTACCTGATATTCTCTCCACTCACAACAATACAAAGTTCTTCATGCTCTCCCCTACCCTTCCTACAAGCAGAGGAGACTGTCCCAGTGGATACCACCATCAGTATTCCACCAGGCATTCTGCCAGGCCACCACTGATGTTCACTTAAAGCCCAAGGTTTTTTTTTTTTTTGGTCAGCTTATCTTGATTTCTGCCAGGCCTGAGACTTACCCTTCAGGGTGGTGGACTCCCCTCTGGTCCAGGGAAGGTCCAGAAATGCTGTTCAAGAGGCTAAGCCTAGATTCTGTGAACCCAGAAGGCTGCTTTTTGTTCTACCTTACTGTGTCTGAGTTGGGACCTGATTTTTGGTTGCTGTGATGGTGCTTTTCTTTGTGGAGATAGTTGTTAAAATTTGGGTTTCACTGGGGGAGGATGAACAATGTAGGCTTCTATTCCACTATCTTGCTCTGATCTCCTTGTCTTCAATTTTGAAGGACAGCTTTGTGAGTTATTTTATGCTTGGTTGGCAGTCTTTTTTTTTTCTCCTTTTAATGCTTTGAATATATCATCCCACTTCCTCCTGGCCTGGAAGGTTTCTGCCGAAAAGTCTGCTGATAGTTTCATAGAGTTTCCCTTGAATATAACAAGTCACTTTTCTCTTGCTGCTCTCAAAATTTTCTTTGTCTTTAACTTTTGATAATTTGATTATAATATTTTTTGATGTGGATCTCTTTGCATTCATTCTATTTTCTGTCCTTTGGGAATTTTGAAACTGATGTTCATTTCTTTCAGCAGGTTTGGGAAATTTTCAGCCATTATTTCTTTGAATAAACCCTCTTTCTCTTTCTCTTCTTTTTTTGGACTCCCAGAATGCATATATTGGCTCACTTTATTTGGTGTCGTAAGTTTCCTAAGCTATCTTTAGTTATTTTTCCTTTTATCTTTTTGCTTCTTTAATTAAATGATCTTAATGACTTGTCTTCAAGTTTGCTAATTTTTTCCTATGCTTGATCTAAACTCCTGTTGAGACTCTCTATTGAATTTTTCAGTCCGGTTATTGTATTCTGCAGCCCCTTGATTTGTGGGGTTGACATTTTAAAAACATTTCCTATCCCTTTGTTGAAATTCTCACTTTATTCATACATTGCTGTCCTGACTTCCATACACATCTTTATCCCATTATTTTGAATTCTCTTAGGTAAATCGCATATATCCATTTCATCAGTGTAAGGTTCTGGATTTTTATTTTGTCCTTTTATTTAGAAAATATTTCATCATCTCTTCATTTTCCTTGACTCTTTGTGTTGGTTTCTCCACATCAAATAATTCAGCTACCTCTCCCAGTCTTGTCAGGCTGGCCTTGTGTAGGAAATTAATCTCACCTATCAGCTTTACTGGAGTTTCTGGGTGCCTCTCAAATTTTTCTACTTGTTCAAACCTTCATCTTTGTACTTAGTGGCCCCAACTAAACTAGAGTGTACCTGCTGGGCATGGTGGCTCACACCTGTAATCCCAGCACTTGGGAGGCCGAGGTGGGTAAATCATGAGGTCAGGAGTTTGAGACCAGCCTGGCCAACATAGTGAAACGCCATCTCTACTGAAAAATACAAAAATTAGCCAGGCATGGTGGCATGTGCCTATAGTCCCAGCTACTTGGGAGGCCAAGGTAGGAGAATCACTTGAACCCAGAAGGTAGATGGTGTGGTGAGCCGAGATCACGCCACTGCACTCCAGCCTGGGCAACAGAGTGTGACTCCATCTCAAAAAGCAATAAATAAATAAATAAATAAATAAACAAATAAATAAATAAACTAGAGTGTACCAAGTTCCATCTGTGCCTAAATATAGGTGAGATAGAAGCCAGTTTTCAAGTAGTAGTTGAAAAAATTGTTGTGCTATATATATGTTTCAGTTAATTTTCTTCTCAAGCAGAAGCTTGGAGCTGGAATTTATCTTTCACTAGCTCTGCACCAAGCTAGGAGAGGATCTGTGGCAAATGCCTGTACTCTTGGTCAGACTTAACACACCTTCAACCCATTGGTTTGTTCTTTGCCACTTCTGGGGTCTATAAAACCCTGTGTCTCATCAGCTCTCAGAAACAAGTGGGCTAGATAGAGGCTTGGTTTTATCTCTAGAGTTATCAAGGGGGAAGAGCTGTGTAAAAAGAGCCACATATCCGTTCAGCTTCACGTAGAACTATTGATTCTACAGGATGCTACATTAGGCTGGTTAGAAGAAAAGGAAGAAGTGATCAGACAGTGGGAAGTTCAAGTAGGAGTTTTAAAAACGTTGAGAAACAGTGTAATCTAGTGTTTGAGGACACAGATTTCAAAGCCAGATTGCCCAGCTTCAAATTGCAACTCAGTAATTTAACACTGGCCAAGTCCACTCAACGTTGTGTTTCCATTTCCTCATTTGTAAAAGGAATACAATGTCTTCTATTCTAGAGTACAGAGTTGTTAGGAACACATCAGCCAAATATATATTAAGTAGCATAAGCTAATAGTAGACGCAATATAAGCATTATATAGTATTAATGTTAGTGATAAGTGAAACTCCAAACATGATGTTAGTACCTTTATGAAAAGAAAAGTGTTTTTTAAAGAAAATATTGAAGTTTTATTATTTGGGATTTCATACGGCCCTCAATTTTATTTCCTTAAACATCTGAATAAATTCTGTATTTTTAGCCAATTCATTTGGAATTGGGTTTGTGCTTTTTTTAAAATAATGGAGGCAGCTCCCATTTTTGAAAAAATTCTTTATTCATCTTGTAATTATTAATTGAAACAGATTTAAACTTTATTGGAATTTCTCCTGTGAAGTTATGATATTTAACTTTTCATTTCCTGTCTGATTTTATCTTCCCAATAAATTTGCCTGAAGGCAAATGACAAAAATGACAAATAGAAGCAAAAAAAAATTAGTCTGGACAATCATATAGTAGAGAAATTTTTTTTCCTTTTTTTCAGAGGACTTTAAAAATGTTGACAATCTTTAACATTCATTATCTTACTAGAATCTCACAACATGTGTCTAAATTGCGTGATGGAAAATTAAATCTTGTTATTTTTCTGTATACTTGACATTAGCTTTGTCTATTATCACATGAAATAGTCATGTACTTATTTTTTAAATGAATTAAAATGTAATAATTGAGCATTATACATGCTGAATTAGAGATACAATGCATAAGATATTAGTGATAGAATAATAGAAACAGGGTTTATTATAGTGGCAGAAAATGAAGCACACAGCTAGCAAGAACAATTCAGTATTTTAACTCAGGCAATTTCACTCCTGTCTGTGCATTTAATAATCATACTACCTTGTAGAGGGTAATATAACCATTTCATTCCACAACTCCATAAAACACCATTCACATTGAAATCTATATGAATCTATATGAATAGTGTTTTCAGGAACATATATATATGTATATCGCATGTTTTGCCATGTTTCTTATTCTATGTTACAAACACTAGTACAAAATAGTTCTTTTTTAAAATAATGAGAATAAAAGTGACTCAGTAGTATAATTTTTAGTACGAACAAGAATGACTTTCATTGCTAATAATAATGAAGGAATGATATTGTACTGGATGATTCCTTTACCTAAAGTAATAAAATAAATTCTTAAGGAAAATATTTCAATAGACAATGAACATTGTTCATAGCTGAATTCAAGTAGAAGAGTGTAGTGCTTCTGTCGAGTAGCAAAATAAGACATTTTTAATGTTTGTAATTTGCTTAAATGTCCACATTTTTTCTTTCTGATAAATAACTTCTGGAAAAGATTCCATATTTACTTAATATTTACTTACTTTTTATGTTCTGATTCCAAAGTTTCCAAAAAGAAAAATTTACCTGAAAAATTTGAATCACATCTAATATCAGATATTCTGCTTTTAATATTTAGAAAAGCAGTCTGATATGACCCTCATGTGGCTCCAAATGGGTATCAGAGAAACCAGTGTTAAAAATAATATAATGAAAGACACAGCAACATTATATTTAATTTAGTGAATAACATTTGTTTATTTTCACCTTTCCCTGCCTCACTAAGCATCACTGGAGAAAGAATTGAAGTAGGAACATGAGGTGAGCACTAGCTTCACACATTGTTATGTAAACTGTTGCCATTACGTTCTAATTACATCACATCAAAATTTAAGAAAAAATCACTCCAGTCCTTAATTTCAAAAATTTTTTATAGAAATACAATTTTCTTTCAAACTCTTCTACATAAAATTTTTACCTTTATTTTCATCTCCGATATAATCATAGCTGAATATACTGACCATCTACTAAGTGCTCATAACTATATGATGAGCCACTTGCAAATTTAGTTCATTTAATATTTGCAAAGCTCTATGTTATATCAGTTTCTGTGGTTTTCAAACCATTTTCTAAAACATATTCTCATTTGATTCTGACTATAATGTTTTAAAAGAAGAAAAGTTATTATTATAGTTTCAGAAGGAAACTGAGAATCAGAAAAAGCCGAGTAATTTGTTCTAGGTCTCACGGTCTATAAGTGGCAGAGATTAGAATCCAACTAAATCTTCTTTCTAGAGGAGTTTCAACACAGTTAAGAAGCAAGATTATTTACTTCCAAAAACAACTTTAAATTATATACTTTAAATTATATTATTTTGATATTAATCCAAAAATGTATTCTTCCAAGAAGACAGTCAGTACTCCATTCAATATGAGGTTTTTACTTATATTTTTAACCATTTCCTATGTAATATTTTTTATCGTTCATCATGAATGTAACTGGGCTAATTGCCACATAGATTTAGAATTATTTAAGATTTTCACATTTCTCTCTTCTAATTACATTTAATTTTTCTCATGGAAAATTATTTATGGGGCATTTAGACTGTAAGCTATGTGGGCAGGAGCCATGAGAATATTTAATTCACTGTTGTATTCCCAGGATTGATCACAGGCTTGACATCTAATAGATATTCAGTTAATATTTAATAAACTTAAATCAATGTAATTCAATTTGATACAAGTAATGTGTTTGCTGTGAATCTCTACCAGCAGTATATATATATATATTTAAAAGATTATAAAAGTGGATTATTGAAAGTAATATCTATTTTTTATAAAATCTATTATCAAATTTAGGAATAGAGTGGATTTGTCTTGGCACCTATTTTGGGACAGTAGTGTTAAAAGCTCTAACTTGTACTTACAGAAAATTAAAAAAATTAGATCAACAATGAAGTAATTGTGTGACATCAAGAAAAATTAATTCATTTAATAAATATGAATTATTAATATGGACTAAGAAGAATCAGAGGTAAATATGAGGTTTGTTGTTTCATGGAGTTTATATTTTGATGACAGACAGATATTGAACCCCTAAAAAGAGTAAATATACACTGTGTCAGTCAGAGATAAGTGCAAGAAAATTTCAAAGAAGGAAAATCTGATGGATAAGGAGAGATGCCTCAGGAGAGATAGAGGAGGGGTATTTTAGCTAGAGGTAAGTCATGATATTTTGATTAATAGAGGTTCTCAGTAGGGAGACAGGAAGTAACATGAAGTTTGGAGTAGGATGATGATGTTGGGGATAATGCAGCAAATATTGTGGGGGATCTCATTTAACGCACACGTGCCTGTGTGCCACTACTTCCACCATGGTGTGTTGAGCATCAATGTACATACAATAGAAATCCATGTCCTCCATGAAAATTCAACTTAGTAATCATTAAGTAATTTACTCTACTTATTTCTTAGAAAAGGGCAGGTGAGTACAGTGTTTCTTTCTATACACATAGGTCAACTCCTGCCCTGGGATCAACTTACCTTAATTGTATCCACTTCTATAGAAAATATGAAGTGATTCACATAGTTTCAAAGCCTTTGCCCCACATATTGGTCAGGTATTATTTCTTGAAAATCACAAGTAGAAAAGCTTTTTTGAATATCTGGTCATTTTTTATTGGATGACACATATTGTGGATTTTACCTTTTTGAGTTCTGAAAATCCTTAAATTTCAAAAAATACTCTTAAACTTTGCATATAATACACATAATAACACACATATATATTATTACATATACCTTTATATATTATATAATACATATAACACAGACACATAGACTACATAAATATATAACACATATATAATGCATATAACACAGACAAATAGGATACGTGAATGTATAACAAAATATTCACGGAAAAATACACACAAGATAACATGTAGAACAGTATGTAGGGTCTTTATCTATTTTGTTCATCTGTACAAATACACGATAAATGTATTCATTGAATGAATTACTGAGTGAACAAATAAATATCCTCTGAAATACAATTTATATCATGTCAGATGTATCCCTCCAGGAACCATATTCCCTTTTCCTCTACTAACAGTACTCTAAAACACAAGGCATAGCACAAAGGAGTTGAAAGTGATTGTGGATTCCAACTCCACAGAATTAAGATTGTTGGCATTGATCAAGAACAAGTAGAAAAAAATAAACTTGAGCTATTAATATAACTCTCCCAGAGATTTGGTTCATTTCTTCTCAACCTAAAAAGGGCTTGGATAAGAGATTGGATTCAATGATAAATGATTTTTAAGGGACAAATTTCTGTCTTATCTTTTCTAACAATTTATGTGATATTAAATACTGCCAAACTATTGTATTATAATTTTTAATGTTTGAAGGTTTCCAGAATAATAAGTATATTTCTAAATACTAGATACAATTTTAACAGACCAAATTTGCAATACATTTTAACTGTGATGTGGGTATTTCATCTATATTTGCATTCCCTGGTGTTCCCCAATCCTCGTTATTTCAGAATGATGAGAATTGAGCTTTGCATAAAGTTAAAGTTGACAAGGCACATTCTGAATGTTTCTGTATGAAGAAAATATTTGAAATCATGGACATATTCACATGCATAAAATTAATTTTTTTCGTAAGTTGATTCTATATCCCTGAAATGAGGCTAATTGAAAACCACAAGGATATCAGTTTCTGTACTTAAAATAGACATAGTATAGCCTATTTTCCCCTTTTCCAATAGATGAGTATTCAGAAAATATCTGGACGTACACAATAGAAATGAACTCCAACTGAAGAGAGAGGAAATTCAACTGCAGAAGAGAAGATTCATAAATAATAATAATGAGATTACTTTTTATTGATGACTACTATGTGCCAGGCAGTGTGGTATGCATTTTACATATTTTATCTTATGTCATCCTCACTCTGTTAGGCACATAGGCATAGCACAGGTTCAGACTGTAGCCCTGGCACTTATTTTGGGCAAGTTACTTAACCTTTCTGGTTTTGATATACTCATCTATAAACATGCAGATAATAATATAACACTCTTTAATATTGACCTAGGCATTAGAACTCAATCTCGATTAAGCTCTTTGAACAATTATCAGTATACAATTAATAGTTAATAAATGCTACTTCCGAACACTATTATTATTACTATTATTATTTTGAGATAGAGTCTCGCTGTGTCGCCCAGGCTGGAGTGCAGAGGCGAGATCTCGGTTCATTGCAAGCTCCGCCTCCCAGGTTCAAGCCATTCTCCTGCCTCAGCCTCCTGAGTAGCTGGGACTACAGGTGCCCGCCACCACGCCTGGCTAATTTTTTGTATTTTCAGTAGAGATGGGGTTTCACCGTGTTAGCCAGGATGGTCTCCATCTCCTGACCTCGTGATCCACCCTCTGCGGCCTCCCAAAGTGCTGCAATTACAGGCGTGAGCCACCGCGCCCGGCCTCTGAACACTATTTTTATCCCTAACTTTATAGTCACAGAAAGTGAAGCAAAAAATGAAGAAAATTGCCCTAGTTTACTTCCCTAGAAAGTGGGATTTGAACTGTAAGGAAAAAATAACTAATAGATATTTAAAACATTTTAATTCATTGATTCACATCTGCCAGTTCAACTGGATTACCTGTGGGTAGGGAGGCAAATAGACACGTTAGGCTCAGAGGTTTGAGGGCATGACTACATTGCAAGCTCAGTGAAGCTTGGGGAAAGAGTCCTTCAGCGGGCCTAGGATTCACACGTATGCATTCTCCATTCTTGAGTCTCTACCTCCTTTATCAGACACAGCCCATCCTGCTTAGGAAAAGCCACACATTGTCTGGCGATGGGAAACCTTCTTTCATAGGCTAGAAGAGAAAGGAGATCAGGACTGTACAGCTACCTGACTTGAGTTCCGGCACCTTGTCTCCAAGACACATTCAATTCTGCCTCACTTGTATAGAATGGACTAGGTTTTAGGACAATGTATAGCAAATTTATTGATTTTATTGATTCTAAAATTTGAAAATCATTTAATATTTCAATTATGATATATTTATCTTCAACTTGTTTCTCTTTCTCCCACAGAATCATCTAAAAGAGATTCGCAAAAAGATTAAATGAGTATCTTGAAATTATCTTAGCTACATTATCTATAGTTGAAATTTATATTTTGGATTTTAGCAAAGACTAAAGGTTACCATCTGCCTGTTTTTTGATCTTCCCTGTGGGATGAAGAGTTTAGGGAGAGAGATGGTCATGTTGCAGAATTGCTGGACTAAGTGTTAATGACAAGAGACCTTAACCAATATGAAATTTTTTGCAACGAGTTCCAGCCAAGAAAATGAAATTCTAGTTCAGGAGGTTGCTTCATCTGCCTCACACTAAATGACTGTTCACTTCTTCAGAGATGTTAACCCTTGTAATGTGAATAGATGCCATTGTTTGAAAGTAGTCATCTCTGACTTTGAGAGCTGATTTTATGACTCTAGGTTTTTAAAAACTTTTTCTAGTCTACTGTTCATTTTTCAAGATATTTCCTTAAAAATGTTGCCTATTTTAACTTTTTAGAATTAATGCTACTAAGACTATTTTATTCTTATTTTATCTTGTCATTTTATTATAATTCTTAATAATATTTTCTTTAATGTGCTTTTTCAATCTTCCAGATGGTGATATTTCTATCTCTTATTTATTCTTGGCTTACATTCCAAATCTTTCTCTTCATCTCATTTTCTAATCATTTTATTTTCAAGATTAAATTAGTCATGTGACATACTTTTATATAATTTCACCAAGTTAGTTTCTCTAGTCTTTTAAACAAATTTACACATTCTTTTATTATTATTATTATTATTTTTTATTATTATACTTTAAGTTTTAGGGTACATGTGCACAACGTGCAGGTTGGTTACATATGTATACATGTGCCATGTTGGTGTGCTGCACCCATTAACTCGTCATTTACATTAGGTATATCTCCTAGTGCTATCCCTCCCCCCTCCCCCCACCCCACGACAGGCCCCGGTGTGTGATGTTCCCCTTCCTGTGTCCATGTGTTCTCATTGTTCAATTCCCACCTACGAGTGAGCAAATTTACACATTCTTAAACGTTAAGTTGCTCATATCTATTTATCTTTAACTGTCATTAGTCTATTCATATCAGGCAGCAGTATCTTCTCTTCACTAATAACTATTGGTTAATTTTAAACATTTTGTTTATACCCTACGTATATTGCACCTTATTGTACCTATTTTCTTTAGTCGTAATGTTATCATTAAAATTGAGAAATGGTAAAAATAAGTTTATGCCCCATCTTACAGAATGTCAAGATGGGTTTCATGTGTTTGCTCTTCATGATGTCATATCCAGCACTATAAAGTAGGGACTGATAACCTGATATTCATTTACCCTTTTATTTAATCTGTGCAATCCAAAAGTGAAATTAACCCACAGGAGAAAATTAAGCCTAGAGTTAGCATAAGCTCCAACATAGTTGGAATTTTTTCCAGAATATACCATGGAGATATGCTTAAAAAAAGAGAATTTGAATAACACATGAGATATCTTGAATACCATGGGCCTGCAATAGCTATCCATGTCTATCTATTTATCTATCTTTATTTAAAATTAATATAAAACATAAACATTTTTCAATACCAAGTTGATAAATTTTGTGGGATAAATATTTAACTGAAGGGCAGTTTCCCAAGCAAGTCCTTTCACTTTTCACTGTAGTTCTCCCTGGATACTAGACACTTGGCAACAGGATAAAATTGTTTTATTGTATCGTTTGTTTTTTACTTACGGATTGGGACATGCTGATCCCTGCACCTTACGCTCAACTTTATATGGCTTCCGGAGTTAGCAGCCTATTTATTAAAAATATTGACGTTCCAAAAATTAATATTTAAAAATACTTCAAACGCATGTGTTTCAGGAGGTTCTTATTAAAGAAGATTCTAAAGAAAGGCTATTAATGAACCCAAACATTGGTTCTCTAATGTGTGGAGAGGTTATGGAGGGAGATAGAAAGGGTTGTCCATTAACAATAACAATGGCTTTGTGAAGGCTTGCCTATTGTTTTGTTATATCAAATACAATGAGAAATGTACCTTAAATCAGGACAAATATAAGTGTAACATAAAAGATTTGATGAAGCAAAGTTTTAATAATTGATCAGGTACAAAACTTTAATAACTTTCTTTTAACTTAAAATATGGAAAGTTAAGAATCCTAGAGATAACATTAGGTGATTCTTTTTCTAATAAACAGTCAAAGAAAAAAAGGTTGTTTTTACGATTCAATCCTTATTTGATCACAAAAGAAAATAACATTATCTTATAACACTGGCAAATATTTATGATACTGTGGCTCAAAGGGACATGAAGGACAGAGAGAGGGTAAAGGTCATTAAATTGATCTCCCTTCAAATCTGGGAAAAGGTAGCAATATCCCTAACACCCAGGGCAAGAAATCCTTAAATAACCTTTTACATGTTGCCCAGTGCTCTCTAGTGGACTAACTCACCTTCTGAAAAATCCTACTCCGAGAGTCATGGCAGTAACCTTGGTATTGTTTCATCTCCTCCTCATCTTCCTCTGTCACTGTGCCAGTGGTGACAATTCCCGCAGGAAACTTTAGAATATTATATAGGTAAACATAGGATACAAAACCTAAAATCCAGTGCACAGACTCATCAGAAGTCCTCCAGATTTATCACTAGTATATTTCCCCCATTCTTCTACTCTTTCTCCTCTGCCTTCTACAACTCTAAGACTAGTGGCTTTATTTACATTTTACAGTGGACAAGAGGAACTTAATAAGGAGAAATGGTCCCTTCACTGAAGTTACCATAGTTGGGTCCAGAGTTCTCATCTCGTGTTCATACATCACCTCCACACTAAATAGTATCTTTAAATGTGTAGCAATTTTCACTCCTTAAGGACATTCACAGAAAATTAACTCACTTTCAAATATTTACGTAACACTGAGATGTATCTTGTGGATATAATGTGAAAAAGGCATGGTGCTAAATTTCAGGTCTTATGGTGAATTTTATGTGTCAACCTGATGGAGTTAAGAATACCCAAACAGCTGGTAAAACGTTATTTCTGGGAATGTCTGTGAGGGTAATCTCAAAGGAGACTGGCATTTAAATTAGTAGTCTGAGTAAAGATCAATCCTCACCAATGTTGGTGGGCATCATCCAATCTGTTGAAAGCCCATGAAATGGAATAAAAAGATGGAAGAGGAAGGAATTTACATGCTTCTTGAGCTGGGACACCACCATCTCCTACCCTTGGACATCAGTGCCTCCCTGTTTCTCAAGCCTTTGAAATCTGGGACTTAAACCAGAGGCTTCCCAGGTTCTGAGATTCTCAGTTTTAGACTGAGAGTTATATTATTGGCTCCTCTGGTTCTTGTGTCTTTAGCCTCAGACTGAATTACACCATCAGCTTTCCTGGTTCTCCAGCTTGCAGACATTATATCATGAAACTTATAGACCTCCATAATTGCATAAGCCAATTCCTATAATAAATCTTCTCATGAATCTCTCTGTATATATCCCATTGGTTCTGTTACTCTGGAGAATGCTAATGCCGCTGATGTTTATTTATGTTAATAGTGGCCATTCTATTTCATGGCATTTAGTGTACATTCAATGAAATGTTGATTGAGTAAAACAATATGCTACTATATAAATTTACAGTACAATTAAGAAATAATTCACCTTTACAATTTAAGTGGAGATGGAAAGAAGAACATGGATATAAAACATTTTGCAAATAGAGGCTCATCACCCTTCAGAGTGTAAAGGATAAATTAGTGGGTAAGTACTGAGAGGACATGACCTTGGTCTTTGCTGTATTATTTTCTAACTATATTAAATTTATTGTTTTCTATTGTTTTCAACTATTTTGCATTTAGATTTCTAAATTATTAAAGAAAGGATTAAAAGGCTTGTGCTTCATGCTTCATAGTGGTTGTGAAAAAGAAATTAAATAATGCATACCAAAACATATAAAACAGTAAATTCCACGTGGATAAGAACTTTTCTGTTTTTCTAGAGAAAACAGGAGGAAAGAAAGAATAAAGAAAACAAGAGATTTTGAGAATGATAGAAAATACATTCAGGACAATAACAAGTTCAGAGAAAAGGGATAAAGCTAATGGCAATCTCGTAAATAGTAGGTTTTAGAATATTCATTTTTAAGTATAATACATTAAGTTGGTGATAAATCTGGAAATATAATACAATTCTTATATTTCTCCATGTATAATATAGTTAGGCTAAGTTTATCTAATCTAAAGAACAAATAAAAGCTAAAAATTATTTATTACCAAGGAGGTCTCCAGTGTAGCTTAGGTTGAAGGCTAGACACAAGACAGGACAGAGAATAACATTCAACTCCAAGGATTTCCATTTGCCAATGAATTTACACTGATAAATCTATAGAGAATAATCCAACCCAAATATAACTATTTCTAAGGCAAGAAAAATAGGTTTACATTACTTTGAAAAACCTTGACCTTTAGAATTGCTGGCAGGCGGATCACCTGAGGTCAGGTGTTCGAGACCAGCCTGATCAACATGGAGAAACCCCGTCTCTACTAAAATTACAAAATTAGCCAGGCATGGTGGTGCATGTCTGTAATCCCAGCTACTCGGGAGGCTGAGGCAGGAGAATCGCTTGAACCTGGGAGGCAGAGGTTACAGTGAGCTGAGATCATGCCATTGCATTCCAGCCTGGGCAACAAGAGCAAAACTCCATCTCAGAAAAAAAAAAAAAAAAGAAGGCAATGTAATAAATAAAATCATAGTTTTACGAAGGAATTTGGTATTTAAAAACACAATAATTTACAGAAAAGAATGTAGTGAAATTTTATCTTGATTAGACATGCAAAATGACCTCTAGGAAGAAAAGGGATGGATAATTCTTTTTCTGTATTTTTCCAAAGCCTGAAGCCTAAAATATAGGCCCAATGACTAAATATGTAAACAAACAAAAAAACCCCACAATATTTCTTAACTTATACCAGAGGTCATCAAACTACTGCCCCTACTGGCCAAATCCAGTCTGCTGCCAATTTTTGTATACAAAGATAAATGGAATACAGTAACGCTCATTCCTTAATGTATTGTATAGGGTTCCTTTTGTCCTGTAAAAGCATAGTTTAGTGCCCATGATGGAGACAGTATAGCCCATAAAGCTTAAAATATTTTATATGTGCTCCTTCATCAAAAAAAAAAATGCTGACACCTGATCCGGATAATCGGTAGTCATGAATGAACCTAGAGTAACCTTTCACTGAGCAACTATTATGTGTTAGCCATTATGCTATTTCTAGCTAAAAATATATAATCTTCATTTAATTCTCATAACCATAATGTGAAATAAGGATTATTATCTTAAACCTATAAATATAGAAACTGATATTCAAAAAAGCTAAGTAACTGACCTAAGATTACACTGCTAGAACCAATAGTTTCAATATTTAGATGTTTTTCAATTATTCTGTTATTATTTGTTTTGATCTTCAATTCCAATGATTTTTGTCCTAAGCTACACAATTTCCCAGAATTCATAGTTACTGAAAACCTCCTTCACAGTCTGAGTGATATAGGTGAAGAGAAGAAAATAAATAAATAAATACATAAATAAAAAAGGGAATTTTAGAAAAAGCTTTACATAAAAAAGGGAATTTTAGAAAAAGCTGATTTAATGTAATCAGAAACTATGGGAGGACAAGAGAAAAATAGTGATCATCTCTAATTTGGCAGTGAATGTTTAGCAATCAATCTTCAGCTCACTCCATTTATCACTGGGCCAATGACCAGTAAAACCCTTACCTTAATCTTTACTGGGATAATTTAAATTACCTTCAGAGCAACCTGTTGCTTCCAGAGTTTATTCATTAACCAGCAATGCACATCATGGACATTAAGATAAATCCAGATTATCATTTCACTATATATTTTGGAAAGAGTCTTGAACTTTGTCTATATCTACAAATGACTCTCATTTCTTATGATACTTTTAGCCCTGTTACTTTAATTTTTTTATTCAGAGCTTATTTTGCCTCCTCCTAGTAACTTAATGCTACAATTTTTAAACTCCCATTGTTTAAATTTATTCTGAAATGATAAATATGAAGTAAAAATTACCAAGGGGCTTCATTCACATATTTATGTCATATTTTCTTTTTTGAAATTGATGTTAGTAATTCAAGTAATATCCTCTTATACATGCACATCTGTAAACTCATCAAATACCACAGCATTTACCTAAGAATTTGTTCATCCATGGGAACTAGCAGGTGACAAAAGATTAGATTCATCAAGAAAAATTATAACTCTATCAAGAAAAGCACAGAGCCTATGTTGGGGCTTTAAATGACTTAAAGTAGATTATAAAATCTCTTTTATGATTAGTGTTATAATATTATAGCATTAGATTCGTTTATATAGTTTAAGATATATTAAAAGGAAACTAGGTAAATAAACATATTGGAAAAATATTCTCTATTTAAAACATTCATATATATTATACACATATAATAATTTGTGTGTATATAATTTGAAAATTTTATATATATATATATTACATATATAACACAAAGATTGCCTCTGATTACTAGTATTATAGGTAGTTTTCTTATCAAATAAATTTTTTGCTTTTCTAATTTATCTGTAATGAACATGTAATACTTGTATAATAAAGGAAAAACTAGCCATTTAAAATGGTTTATTATAATTCCACTCTGGCCAAGACACATGTATATTTTAATATACATATATGCATATAATTTATATAAATTATATATGTATGTATTATGTATATATTGCTTCTATATGACTATGTATATCTAATTTTTGTGTGTGTATATATATGTATATGAGCTACATATGGAAATTTTTTTTAGATGTTTAAGATCATGTAGTTCAATACTTGGTGCTGGGAAATAAAAAAGGAAAAGAAAAGGAAAGCTCCTAGGGATCTGTGAGCTGAAATCTGAAGTTCTCACAGTGTTGGAATACATAGGACGTTCTAAATAGCTAAATGAGAGATACTTTGCTGAAAAATACAGTCACTTCAGTTGATATTGAAAGAAACTTAGGGAAGGACTTTTCAACCACTATAGTAATGGTTACTCTCTGAAAATTCTAACAAAATTTAAGCACAAAATTCAAAAGGATAAGATTAATTGACCACAAAATTAACCATCTGTGAAATAAAAAAAAAAAAAAAAGACAAAACAAAAACCCAACTCTACTCTCTCTAGAAGAAGACACTAACTCCAGATTCTCAGTCCTCTGGTATCCATAATTTCTGGCAGACAATACAAAAAATCTACACACAAAATGAAGCAGATAAATATAAGTAACTGAAGGAAGAGTTCAGTCAGCAGACAAAAACTCTGAGAGATGATCCAACTGCTGGAATTAGCAAGGATTTTAAATCAGCTAATTCAAAAGTGTTCAAGGACTTTAAAAAATGACCATAATAAATGAGCAGATGAGCATATGAGGGAATATTAGCAGAGATAGAGGGCCTATAGAAAGAATCAAATTGAAATTCTAAAAGTAATAAAATATGTAAAATAAAAAAAAAATCCATTTAGTGCTATAAATTTCCCTCTTAACACTGCTTTAGCTGCTCCCAGAGATTCTGATATGTTGTCTTTGTTCTCATTGGTTTCAAAGAACTTGTTAATTTTTGCCTTAATTTCATTATTTACCCAGAGTCATTCAGGAGCAGGCTGTTCAATTTCCATGTAGTCGAATGGTTTTGAGTGGACTTTTTAATCTTGAGTTCTAATTTGATTATGCTGTGGTCTGAGAGACTGTTATGATTTCAGTTATTTTGCATTTGCTGAGGAGTGTTTTACTTCCAATTATATGATTGAATTTAGAGTAAGTGCCATGTGGCACTGAATAAAATGTATACTCTGTTGTCTTTGGTGGAGAGTTCTGTAGATATCTATCAGGTCCACTTGGTCTAGAGCTGAGTTCAAGTCCTGAATATTTTTGTTAATTTTCTGTCTCAATGATCTGTCTAATACTGACAGTGGGATATTAAAGGCTTCCACTATTTTTGTGTGGGGGTCTAAGTCCCTTTATAGGTCTCTAAAAATTTGTTTTATGAATCTGGGTGCTGTTGTATTGGGTGCATATATATTGAGGATAGTTAGCTCTTCTTGTTGAATTGAACCCTTTAACATTATGTAATGCCCTTCTTTGTCTTTTTTGAGTTTTGTTGACTTAATGTCTATTTTGTCAGTAACTAGGATTGCAAACCCTGCTTTTTTCAGCTTTCCATTTGCATGGTAAGTTTTCCATCATCTCTTTATTTTGAGTCTATGTGCATCTTTGCACATGAGATGTGTCTCTTGAACACAGCACATAAATGGGTTTTGTCTTTGTATCCTGCTTGCCATTCTGTCTTTTAATTGGGGAATTGAGCCCATTTACACTTAAGGTTAATATTGTTATGTGTGAATTTGATCCTGTCATCATGATGTTGGCTGGTTAATTTGGCAGACTTGTTAATGTAGTTGCTTCATAGTGTCATTGGTCTGTGTACTTCAGTGTGTTTTTGTAGTGGCTGGAAATGGTTTTTCCTATCCATGTTTAGTGCTTCCTTTAGGAGCTCTTGCAAGGCAGGTGGGGTGGTGACAAAATACCTCAGCATTTGCTTGTCTGAAAAAGATTTTATTTCTCTTTCGCTTCTGAAGCTTAGTTTGGCTGAATGTGAAATTCTGGGTTGGAATTTCCTTTTTTTTTTTTAAGAATGTTGAATATTGGCCCCCAATCTCTTCTGGCTTGCAGGGTTTTTGCTGAGAGGTCCTTTGTTAGTTTGATGGACTTCCCTTTGTAGGTGACCTGGCCTTTCTCTCCTGCTGACCTTAACATTTTTTCCTTCATTTTGACCTTGGAGAATCTGATGATTATGTGTCTTGGGGTAGATCTTTTCCTTGATTATCTTGTTGGAGTTCTCTGGATTTCCTGAATGTGAATATTGGCCTGTCTTGAAAGATCTCAAATCAACAACCTAACATCACAACTAAAACCTAACATCACAAAAGCAAACAAACCCCAAAACTAGCAGAAGACAAGAAATAACCAAGATCAGAGTAGAACTGAAGGAGATAGGGACATAAATAAAAACTTCCAAAATAATCAATGAATCCAGGAGCTGGTTATTCGAAAAAAATTAATAAAATTGATAGACCACTAATGAGACTAATGAAGAAGAAGACTGAAGATTCAAATAAACACAATCAGAAATGAGAAGTGGGATACTACCACTGACCCCACAGAAATAAAAACAATCATCAGAGACTACTCTAAATACCTCTATGCAAATGAATTGGAAAATCTAGAAGAAACAGATACATTCCTGGACACATAAACCTTCCCAAGACTGAACCAAGAAGAAGTTGAATCCCTGAATAGACAAGTTCTGAAATTGAGGCAGTAATAAATAGCCTACCAACCAAAGAAAAAGCCAAAGTCCAGATTGATTTACAGCTGAATTGTACCAGAGGTAAAAAGAGGAGCTGGCACAATTTCTTCTGAAACTATTCCAAATAATTGAAAGGGAGTTACTCCTCCCTAACTCATTTCATGAGGCCAGCATCATCCTAATACCAAAACCTGGCAGAGACAACAAGAAAAAAGAAAACTTCAGGACAATATCCCTGATGAACATTGATGCAAAAATCCTCAATAAAATACTGGTAAACCAAATTCAGCAGCACATCAAAAAGCTTATCAACCACGATTAAGTTGGCTTTATCCCTGGAATGCAAGGCTGGTTCAACATACACAAATCAATAAATGTAATTCATCATATAAACAGAACTAAAAACAAAAACCACATGATTATCTCAATAGACACAGAAAAGGCCTTTCATAAAATTTAACATCCCTCCATGTTAAAAAACTCTCAGTAAACTAGGTATTGAAGGAACATACCTCAAAATAATAATAGCCATTTATGACAAACTCACAGCCAATATCATACTGAATGGGCAAAAGCTGAACTCATTCCTCTTGAAAACTGGTACAAGAAAAGAATACCCTCTCTCACCACTCTTATTCAACATAGTGTTGGAAGTTCTGGCCAGGGCAATCAGGCAAGAGAAAGAAATAAAGTGTATTCAAATAGTAAGAGAGGAAGTCAAATTATCTTTGTTTGCAGATGACAGGATCCTATATCCAGAATACCCCATTGTCTCAGCCCAAAAACTTCTTAAGCAGATAAGCAACTTTAGGAAAGCCTCAGGATACAAAATCAATGTGCAGAAATCACAAGCATTCCTGTCCACCAACAACAGAAAAGCAAAAACCCAAATCACAAAAGAACTTCCATTCACAACTGCTGCAAAGAGAATAAAATACCTAAGAATACAGCTAACAAGGGAAGTGAAGCACCTCTTTAAGAACTACAGACCACTGCTCAAAGCAATCAGAGAGGACATAAGCAGATGCAAAAACATTCCATACTCATAGATAGAAAGAATCGATATCATGAAAATAACCATACTACCCAAAGCAATTTATAGATTCGATACTATTCCCTTTAAACTACTATTGATATTCTTCACAGAATTAGAAAAAATTATTTTAAAATTCATATTGAACCAAAAAATAGCTAGAATAGCCACATCCATCCTAAGCAAAAACAACAAAACTGGAGGCTTCATGCTACCTGACATCAAATGATACTATGAGGCCACAGTAACCAAAACGGCATGGTACAGGTACAAAAACAGGCACATAAACCAATGGAACAGAATAGAGAGCTTATGAATAAAACCACACATCTACAACCATATGATCTTTGACAAACCATACAAAAACAAGCAATGGGGAAAGGATTCCCTATTTATTAAATGGTGCTGGGAGAACTGGCTAGCCATATGCAGAAAATTGAAACTGGATGCCTTCCTTACATCTTATACAAAAATTAACTCAAGATGGATTAAATATTTAAATATAAAACCCAAAACTATAAAAACCCTAGAAGAAAATCTAGGCAATACCATTTAGGACATAGGCATGGACAAAAACTTTATGACGAAATCACCAAAAGCAATTGCAACAAAAGCAAATATTGACAAATGGTATCTAATTAAACTAAGGCACTCCTGCACAGCAAATGAAACTGTCAGAGCAGACAGACAAGCCCAATGGGAGAAAATTTTTACAATCTATCCATCTGACAAATGTTTAATATCCAGAATCTATAAAGAACTTAAGCAAATTTAAAAGAAAAAACACAACCCCATTAAAAAGTGGACAAAGAATAAGAACAGACACTTCTCAAAAAACACATACATGTAACCAACACACAAAAAATAGTCCAAGATCACAGATCATTAGAGAAATGCAAATCAAAACCACAATGAGATAAATTCTCATGCCAGTAAGAATGACAATTATTAAAAATTCAGGAAATAACAGATGCTGGCGAGATTGCAGAGAAATAGGAACGCCTTTATACTGTTGGTGGGAATGTAAATTAGTTTAACTATTGTGGAAGACAGTGTGGCAATTCCTCAGAGATTTAGAACTGGAAATACCATTTGGCCCTGCAATCTCATTACTGGGTATATACCCAAAGGAATATAAATCATTTTATTATACAGATACATGCACATGTATTTTCACTGCAGCACTATTCAGAATAGCAAAGACAAGGGATCAAACCAAATGCCCATCAATAATAGACTGGATAAAGAAAATGTGGTACATACAAACTGTGGAATACTATGCAGCCACAAAAAGGAACAAGATCATGTCCTTTGCAGGGTCATGGATGAAGCTGGAAGCCAGTATCCTCACCCAGCAAACTAAGTCAGGAACAAAAAACCAACACCACATGTTCTCACTTATAAGTGGGAGCTGAACAATAAGAATACATAGACATGGTGGGAGAACAACACTTACTAGGGTCTATTGATGGAGGGAGGGGTGGGAAGTGCATTAGGGAAAAGAGCTGATGCATGTTAGGCTTAATACCTAAATAATGAGTTGACTAGTGCAGTAAACCACAATAGCACATGTTTACCTATGCAACAAAACCTGCACACCCTGCACGTGTACCCTGGAACTTAAAAATAAATAAATAATTAATAATAAAATAAAATAAAATGAAAAATCCACTAGATAGCCTTAACATAAGATTGGATACAGAAGAAGAAAGAGTTGATAAATTCAAAGATTTATGAATAGTTCTTATCTATTCTGAACTGAAAAAATAAAGAAAGTAAAGCATCAGTAATATATAGAAATTTATTATGAAGTATATCATGTGTGTTGTGGAGTCTGAGAGGAAGAAGAAGAAGAAGTTTAATATATACCTAAAGAAATAATGGTCAAAAATCGTCCAAACTTACTAAGAAAAATACCAACTTATAAATACAGGAAGCATGTTGAACCTCAAAGTGTAAATATAAAGAAAAATACCCTTAGGTACAATATAGTCAAACTGGCAAAATCCAAAGATAAGGGGAAAATTTTGAAAACATCTAGCAAGAAAAGATATATATTGCATGCAGGAGAAAAACCATGCAAATTACAGCATACCTTAATAAGAAATAGTGTAGGTCAGAACATAATGGAATACCATTATTTAAGTACAGAGGATAGAGGTAATGAATTGGAATTGTGTGTTCAGTGCAAATATCCTTAAACCATGAGGGAAAATTTAAGACAGTTTTCAGATAAGAAAATTCAAAATTTTTAATTAACAGATCTACAGTATAAGAAATATTAAAATGTATTGTTTCCAATGATGAACACTCACATATCATGAAAACCTGTATGTAGAGGATGGAATAAAGACCACCAGAAATAGTGAATATATGAGTAAATATAAAAACTACATTTTTCTTCTTAGTTTCTTTAGAGGCCTAGTGACTTTTTAAAACAAAGATTTTAATAATCATTGCAGGGTTTAATATATATGTGTATATGTATATATGTATATCTCAATTTATTTGAAATAGCACAAGTATAGGGGATTAAAGCAAATGACACAATTGCCAGATTTTTACATTTCTTGTGAATTGGCATACTTATCAACTGTAAGTAGACTTTAAAAATTAAGGAGGCATATTCTAATCCTTAGAGCAACCAATAAAATAAAAAACAAAAGGGTAGAGCTTACAACCTCCTAAAAAAATTACAATAGAATTTGAATAAACATTTGTTTATGAGATGGCAAAATGAAATGAACAGAACAACAAACAGATTTTGTGTTGAATGAACAGATGGAATAAATAAAAAGTAAACACCAAAATGGTCATTCTAAATTCAGACATATTCATAATTACATTAAATGTAAGTGAATTTAAAACTCCCAATTATAAGGCAGAGATTGTCAATTTGGATTAAAAAAGAAAACAACAGAGCTATGATCTATCAAAATCACTGCCTTGTTTTTTAGGACTGGTATAACCAAAATACCAAAACCTGATAAAGATGTTATAAGAAAAGAATATTTTTAAAAAATGTCATTTGCATAAATGTTAAAATTCTCAGAAAAATATTAGGAAATCAAACACAGTTTATATAAAATAAATAGTACATTACTATCAACTGGGATTTTATACAGAAAATTCAAAGCTGATTTATGTTTCAAAAAATGTAATTAAGGAAACTGTATTACCCGGATAAAGAAGAAAGGTAAATACGATATTCTCAATAGATGAAGAAAAAAAATTTGGTAAATAAAAACTCCACTTTTGATAAAAAAAAATTCTCAGCAAATTAGAAATAAAAGGAAAAATGTTCAGCTTAATTAAGAATATCTATGACAAACCTGCAGCTAATATCATACTTAATAATGAAGTCATTAATATGCTTACCTCAGAACAGGGCCAAAGCAAGGACGGCCATTTTTACTACTTGTATTCAACATTATACTGGCTGTCATAGCCAGTGAATACAATAAGGCAAAAGAATAAAAAATAAAATAAATAGAAGGCATAATAGAAAGACAGAAGAAAACCTTTCCCATGAAATTATAATTAAATATGTAGATAATCTTTGCATGGATTGGCAAACAATTTCCAAGTGTATATATGTGTGTGTGTATATATATATGTATATACATATGTATATTTAGAACCAGAAATACCATTTGACCCAGCAATCCCATTACTGGGTATATACCCAAAGTAATATAAATAATTTTATTATACAGATACATGCACCTATATATGTTTATATATATATTATATATATATCGATATATATTATATATCGATATATAATATATATCGATATATATTATATATATCTATATGTAATATATATAGCTATATATTATATATCGATATCTATATATATAATATATAGCTATATATAATATATATCTATATATGTCCATATATAATATAGATATTATATATATCTATATATAATATCTAGAGCTATATCTATATATAATATCTATAGCTATATCTATATATAATATCGATATTATATCTATATATAATATCGATATTATATCTATATATAATATCGATATAATATCTATATATTATCGATATATCTATATATAATATCGATATTATATCTATATATAATATATAGACATATATATGTGCATGTATCTGTATAATATATATAATATAATATATATCTGTATAATATATATAATTGTATATATAATATATTATATATAGACATATATATATATATATATATATATATATATGGTCTCTATTGCAGCTATTCAACTTTTTCATAGTGTTAAAGCAGCCATAGCAAATAAGTAAATGGATGGGCATGTCTGTGTTTCAATAAAACTTTATTTTAAAAAAATAAACGTGGGCTTAGATTTGTCCAGCATGCCAGATTCTCAACTCTAAGTAGATTTAAAAGAACTATTAAATCTACTATGTAAATTTATGAAGATTACAGGATACAAGAACTAAATTAAAATCCATGTATTTCAGTATCATAGCAGAAAAATTTGAAAATGGAATTTTAATAATTTATCTTGATTATATCGCTAAAAATGCTAATTACATAGGAATGCATTAAATAAATTGAAAGGCCTCTATATTGGAAACTTTAAAAATACTGCAGAAAATTTTAAAAAGACAAATAAATGGAGTTATAACATTTGCATGGGTAAAATTACTGAATATTTGTAAGTTATCAATTCTCTTCAAATTGATTTGTAAGTTTACTGCAACCCCAAACATAAATCCAGAGATATTAAAAAAATAGAAATGGACAAGCTATTTCCAACTTTTAAAAATCAAAACCCAATGGACCTAGACTAGCCAATACAATCCCTAAAAAGAATTTGTTGGCTGGGAGTGGTGGCTCATGCCTGTAATCCCAGCACTTTGGGAGGCCAAGGCGGGTGGGTCACAAGGTCAGGAGATAGAGACCATCCTGGCTAACACGGTGAAACCCTGTCTCTACTAAAAACAAAAACATTAGCTGGGCTTGGTGGCGGGTGCCTGTAGTCCCAGCTCCTCGGGAGGCTGAGGCAGGAGAATGGCGTGAACCCGGGAGGCAGAGCTTGCAGTGAGCCGAGATCGCGCCACTGCACTCCAGTCTGGGTGACAGAGCGAGACTCCGTCTCAAAAAAAAAAAAAAAAAAAAAAGAATATATTGAGAATTCACGTTTTTATAGCAACTTTCAAGAATTAGTATAAAACTTCACTGATCAAGATAGTATAAAAAAGATAGTATAATATTGGCTTAAGATCATGAAGGAATAGGATCTAGAAATAGATCTACACATATACAATTAATTAATTTTTGACCAAGACACCAATACAACTACAATGGAGGATTAAAGTATTTCAACAAATGGTGCTAGAAGAACTGGATATCTATACAGAATAAAAAGACTCTCAACCCTTACCTCACAGTATACACAAACATTAATTCTAGATAGTAATATATGTGTAAATATGGAAGCTAAATATGTAATGCTTCTAGAATAAAACGTAGGAGATTGTGACTTTAGATAGGCAAAGGTGTTTTGGACAGCACACAGAAAGCAATAGCCATAGGCTGGGCGCAGTGGCTTACGCCTGTAATCCCAGCAATTTGAGAGGCCGAGGCGGGCGGATCACCTGAAGTCGGGAGTTTGAGACCAGCCTGATCAACATGGAGAAACCTCGTCACTACTGAAAATACAAAATTAGTCGGGCATGGTGGCACACGCCTGTAATCCCAGCTACTTGGGAGGCTGAGGCAGGAGAATCACTTGAACCTGGGAGGCGGAGGTTGTGGTGAGCTGAGATTGTGCCATTGCACTCCAGCCTGGGCAACAAGAGCGAAACTATGTCAAAAAAAAAAAAAAAAGAAGAAGAAGAAAGAAAGAGAGACAGAGAGAGAGAGACAGAAAGAAAGAAAGAAAGAAAGAAAGAAAGAAAGAACCATAAAATGAAAACAATGTATAAGCTAAACTGTCAAAAATTCAAACATCTGCTTATCAAATTATATCACTAAGAAAATAAGAAGGCAAGCAATGGATTGTGAGAAAATATTTGTACTATGTCTGACAAAGGACTTTATTTAGAATGCATATGTGGTAGAAAGTAGTTTTTAAAAAGAACTAAGAAGTGAATACCTAGTTCACAAAGAAAGATATACGAATGGTTAATTCGTGTATAAGAGATACTCAACATCATCAATCACCAGGAAAATATAAATTAAAACCACAATGAAATTCCATAAGACACACCAGAAATAGCTAAAATAAAAAATATTGACAATATCAAGCATTGATAAGATTGCAGAGCAACTGGAACTCTCATACATTGCTGGTAGAAACATAAAATGATAAAACAATGTTGTAAAATAGCTTGACAGTTTTTAACAAAGTTAAACATATTCTGTTCTATGACTTAGCAATTCCACTCATAATTATGCACTCAAGGAAAATGAAAACAGTATGGTTTATAGGAGCTGTATAAAAAACTACCCACATATTGGAGAATGGATTTTAAAAATATGGCATATTTATGCAATGGAATATTAGTAGCCATGAAAGAATGAACTACTACACTGATATTACACAAAACACATGGATAAATTTCATAGACATGTTGAGCAAAAAGAAGCCATACACATAGAGTGCAAATTATAATTTCATCTACGTGAAGTTCCAGAACAGCTAAAATTAATATATGGTGAAAAAAATTAGAAAGGGAAATGAAGAACATTTTAAGACAAAGAAAATACTCTATGTCTTAATAAGATATGGGTTACATAGGTGAACTCATTTGTCAAACTCCATCAAATTGAACACAACCTTTTTACATTTCATTGTATGTAAATATTACCAAAAATAACTGACAATAAATATTGAACTCTGAAGTTTCGTTCACAGTAGTATTTTATATAAATACATAAATGACAAATACTAAAATACACTCTATGGTTTTGGATTGGAATTGTACCAGTATGCACCCATGATTTTTAATATATTGAATATGGGAATGTATAATTTATAGAAATATATATACCTATATTTATCTTTTTCTTAGCTCTTTTAGAAACAATGACATACCACTTGCAACGAGTCTGTTGAAATGAACAGACTCTCCATTAAAAGGAAACCGGGTTGTTATGTGCAGAGCTGAGGCAGAGAAAATATAAACTGAGCCTGGAGCGTCTTGCTGGAGCAAAAAACTTTAAAGTACACAAAAATGATGAGGCCATAATAAGGAGACCCAAGAGTTAGTTGGAAGGGATTCCTACTGGCCAGATCTTGAATAATTTAAACATGGAGATAAATAGCAATAGTAAATGTAAATGCTATGACCCATTTCACAAAATAAGAGTGAATTAGGCCATATGTATAAAAATAGGGTGAACAGATAAAATATTTAGGGGGAAAGGAAAAACTGTTCTCCACAATAGCATGAATACTAATAAATATATGGCATTGAGGCTAGTAGATGATAAAACAAGTAGGTGAAATTTTGATTACAAACAGGATTACAAACTCTTCTCTACAATAGCATGAATACTAATAAATATATGGCATTGAGGCTAGTAGATGATAAAACAAGTAGGTGAAAATTTGATTACAAACAGGAAACTTGCATCATCTCAAAATGTCTTCTCACATATTATGCATTAATAAATTGGAAAAAAATAGAAAATTTACAATAGAAAAGCCTAGCAGTTATCACTTTCACCAATTAATCAAAGCTAATTGGGAGAAACTGATATCATAGGCCTCCTTATATAATGCATTAAGAAAAACAGCCTTATGTCGGTGATTTTCCTGACCAAAAATGCATGATCTCATTCTAAGGAAACATCAGACAACAATCAGGGACATTCTACAAAATAACTGCCTGTACACCACAAAAATGTCAAGTTCAAGAAAGCCAAAGAAAAGCTAAGGAATTGTTCCACATTAAAGGAGACAAGAGATTTGACAACTAAATGCAATATAGAATCCTGAAAGAAATTCTGTTCTGCAGAAAAAAAATGCCATAAAGAATGTTATTGAGAAAAATTTTTTAAATTTGAATATAAACTCTAGATTAAATAATAGTATTATATTAATGTTAAATTTCCTGATTATGATAACTATTCTTTGGTTCTGTTAAAAAATCTCATTTTTCTTAAGAAAAACACACTAAATAGTAATAAGGGTATATAGTATCTCTAACTGTCTTTCAAGGTTCAGAAATAAATAATTCAGAAAAATACACATATAGAGAGAAAAATGATAAAGCAACTGGGACAATATGTAAACCACTGATACACCTGGGAGTTTGTTGTATTATATTTGCATTTTTTCTATAAGTAACAAATTATATGAATACACCAAGTGACCAAAGAAGTGTTTTATTCATTTGCGGGTAGTAGAGGCATGTATTAGACATTTTGAAGGGGTCTAGTGAGCTCAAACTTTTGCTTTTCTTTGGCGTCCTGCCCCCAGTTCCAACGAAGGTTGTTTCTGGCAGTGAAATTTGTCCTGTATAGTACATCTACCTCAGGCCCTCACTGATTGAAGCTGAAAACAACTGATTCAAACTAAGTAACTATGATTTTTTTCATCAGGTTTTTAAAAATAGGATTAAATGATTGCTTTGAGAAGAAATGCACACCCTTTTGTTCTCACAGGTAGCTTTCTCCAGAATAACACTTTCAGTCCCCCTTTCACCCATTACTTATAATCATTTAGCTGCATGGTTAGATAGTGAGACTGGCCTTCATTGTCCCTTACTTTTCTATTGAGCAGAGATAAAACCTTGTAGCTCCTCTCCCTAGAATCTCCTTTCCTCACCTTTTTCTTTATGTAAGTTTCCTGGAAAGACTCTGTCCCTGCAGGGATGAGAGCTGTATCTCTGAGAGGGTTTAGTTTAGGAAGTAAAATTGTAGAAAGTCCATTTGGCCTTAAATCCAACGCATATTCTCTAATCCAGTCTTATCAGGAATAAATATTTTTATCTTCATCTGTATGATTCCTACAACTCTAAAATTGGTTTCCCATAAGGAGAAAGGGGTGTGATTAATTATCACCCTCAAATTGCCAGGCAGTCACCACAAAGTGACTGGAAAAGCAAAGAAAACAGCTATAGGAAGAGACACAAATTTGAAAAGACAAACGATGAAACATTTAGTTCTCATGGATTTTTAATTTATTAACTAATTCCTTCTTCAATTCCAGCTATATTTATCTCCCCCTTAGGATTCCAAAAGACACACACATGTCTTTAAAATAAATCCTGGGACTTAGACTTGGATTCAAAGAGACTGAACTGATTTCAGGCATTATTCTTCCGGCTAGTATGATAAATTTTAAAAATTATATTTCCATAAATTTCACAATAGTGAATTTACTTCTATTCTCTTATTTGTTGGTTACTGGAAAACCTAGTCAAAGAGCCATTTAGACTCCAAGACCATGGAGAAAGACACCATTTAGGGCAGGCTGATTATAGATGTGTATTGCAACATGAATGTCTTCAGTATAAGCCTTTGAAGTAAGGAAGAGAAGACAGGGAATATCAAGAAAGGGATGGTACAGACTGGACAAACTAACACTGGTGCAATCAAGACCTACCCTTTGACTTAATCCCCAGTGTCCTGAGTTCTGAAAGTCAAGGTGGAAAAAAAATGAACTCCAAATCCATTGAAAACAACTTTTACTGGATGATGGTACAGGGTGTAATTTCAGCAGAGAAATAAATGATTTAAAATTAATTAAGAATGTTACATAAGGAACTTGCTGACATTTAGTTATATTTATATCTTCTTGAGTCACTTCTGAGATCCCCTGGGATGAGTTAAAGGGTATAAAATCACTTGAGCAGACTAGATTAGACTTCCCAGATTTTTAAATGGACAGATAATGTTCAGATCTTCTTTTTAATAATGAAATGTATTTTACTCACTTAAAATTCCGTGTCAGAATCATGTGCACTGGGTTTACCAAATAATGATGGTGTCCATTGTCAAAGTTGTTTAGAACAAGAAAGGAAAAAAAATTCAATTGACACAATTCTTTTCATGGAAACAAATTAGGCAGGGACAGAAGTGAAAATCCTGTCTTTCTGCCATAAAATGGAAGCTGGATTTCTCTATAGTCTCTTCCAAAATATAAAGGCAAAGTAATACTGCCCACTCATTCTACCAGGCCAGCATTATTTTAATACCCAAACCAGGCAAGGACATTACGAGAAATGAAAACTGTAGAGTAATATATCTCATAAACATAGATGCAAAAAACTTCTACAAAATATTAGAAAATTAAGTCCAACACTGTATAAAAAGAATGATAAACTATGATCAAGTGGCATTTATCCTAAGTACGCATGATAGCTTCAACATCCACAAATCAATTAATGTATTGCATCATATCAACAAGCTAAAACAGAAAAATCACACGAACTTATCCACATATGTGAAAAAAGTATTTGACAGACCCAACACCTACTTATGACAAAAACTATCAGTCAACTAGGAATACAGGGGAATTTCCTCAACTTGATTAAGAATATCTACCAAAAAAACTTTACAGCTAATATCATAGTTAATGGTAAGAAACTTAGAGCTTTCTAAGATCAAGAACAAGGCAGGGATGTCCTCTCTCACCACTACTTTTCAACATTGTACTGAAAGTCCTAGCTAACTTGATTAGAGAAGAAAAGGAAATAAAAGGCGTACAGATTGGGAAGGAAGAAATAAAGCTGTGTTTGTCTACACTTTACAAGATCAACTTCATGGAAAATTTGAAGGAATTGAAAAAAAAACTTCTTGGAACTAATAAGCAATTATAGCAAGATTGCAGGATGCAAGGTTAGTATACAAGAATCAATCACTTACCTTTATAACAAAAATAAATGAGTATAATTTGAAATTAAGACCACTTTACCACTTATGTTAGCACTCCTCCCAAAATAAAATACTTAGATATGAATCTTACAAAACATGTATAAGAGCTATATGAGGAAAATTACAAAACTCTGATGAAAGATTTCAAAGAACTAAATATGTGGAGAAATATTTCATGATCATAAATGGGAAGACTCAATATTGTCAAGATTTCGTATTTTACACCTTGATCTACAGATTCAAGCCAATTAAAAATCCCAGCAAGTTATTTTGTGGGTGTTTACAAGGTAATCCCAAATTTCATATGGGAAGGCAAAAGACTCAGAGTAGCCAACTGAATATTCAAGAGAACACGGTTGCCTCCATGTGATACTACATGACTGTAAGATTTCCTATAAAGCTATAGTAATAATGACAGCGTGGTATTGGTTGAAACCGACAAAATAGATAAATGGAGCAGAACTAAAAGCCTGGAAATAAATCTACATAAATAAAGATAACCAATCTTTGACAAAGAAACAAAGGCAATAAAATGAAGTTAAAGATAGACTTTTAACAAATGGTACTGGAACAACTGGATATCTGTATGCCAAAAAAAAAAAAAAAATCCAGACACAGTTCTTACATTCTTCACAAAACATTGCTCAAAATGGACAAGGGACCTAAATGCAAAGTACAAAACTATAAAATTCTTACAAGATAACATAGAAGAAAATTAAGATGGCCTTGGGTTTGGTGATGACTTTTTGAATATAACATCAAAGACATGAGCTAATTGGTAAGCTGGACTTTATTAAAAGCAAAACTTAATACTCTGTATAAGACAATTTCAAGAACATAAGAAAACAAGCCAAAGACTGGGAGAAAATATTAGCAAAGCACACATCTGATAAAAAAAAGTTATCTAAAATATACAAAGCCCTCTTAAAACTCAACAATGAGAAACAAACAACCAGATTAAAATATAGGGAAAAGATCTGAACAGGTATGTCAGCAAGAAGATATAGAGATGACAAGGAAGCATATGAAAAGATGTTCAACATCATATGTCATTAGGGAATTATAAATTAAAACATCATTGAGATGCACACCTATTAAAGAGAGCAATCTCCAAAACACTGAAAATACCAAATGCCAGCAAACACTCATTCATTAAAGGTGGGAATGGAAAATGATACAGATGTTTTGGAAGACAGTTTGGTAGTTTCTGACAGAATTATGTGTACTGTTATAAACTTAAGGTAAAGGGGTGGAAGAAGATATTCCATGCAAATGGAGACCAAAGGCAAGCAGGAGTAGCTTTTAAAGTCAGACAAAACAAGGTTTAAAACAGCAATAGTTAAAAAAGACAAAAGAGCATATTATATAATGGTAAAAGGACTAGTCCAACAGGAAAATATAACAATCCTAAATATATATGCACCTAACACTGGAGTTCCCAAATGTATAAACAGTTACTTCTAGACCTGGGAAATGAGATAGACAGCAATACAATAATAGTGGGGGACTTCAATACTCCACGGACAGCACTAGACAAGTCATCAGGACAGAAAGTCAACAACAACCACAACAAAACAATGGATTTAAAGTATACTCTAGAACAAATGGACTTATCAGATATTTAAAGAAAATTATATTCAACAACTGCAGAATATACATTGCATTCATCAGTACATGAAGCATACTCCAAGACAGATCATATGATAGGCCACAAAACAAGTGTCAACATATTTAAGAAAACTGGGCTGGATGCGGTGGCTCATGCCTGTAATCCCAGCACTTTGGGAGGCTGAGGCGGGGGGATCAGGAGGTCAGGGGATTGAGACCATCCTGGCTAACATGGTGAAACCCCATCTCTACTAAAAATACAAAAGGAAAAAATAGCCGGGTGTGGTGGTGGGTGCCTGTAGTCCCAGCTACTTGAGAGGCTGAGGCAGGAGAATGGAGTGAACCTGGGAGGCGGAACTGCACTCCAGCCTGGGCAACAGCGTGAGACCCTCTCAAAAAAAAAAAAAAAAAAAAAAAAAAGAAAAAGAAAACTGAAATTATGGCAAGTACTCTCTCAGACCACCGTAGAATAAAATCGGAAATCAACTCCATGGTTTGAGGAACCCTCAAAACCATGCATATACTTGGAAATTAAATAAACTGCTCCTGAATGATCATTGTGTCAACAATGAAATTAAAGAAGGAAATTCAATCATTCCTTGAACTGAACAATAATAGTGACACAACCTATCAAAACTTCTGGGATACAGCAAAAGCAGTGCTAAAAGGGATGTTCATAGCATTAAATGCCTGCATCAAAAAGTCTGAAAGAGTACAAATAGACAATCTAAAGTCACACCTCGAGGAACTAGAGAAAAAAAAAAACAAACCAAACCCAAGCCCAGCAGAAGAAAAGAAATAACAAAGATCAGAGCAGAACTAAATGAAATAGAAACAAAAAAAAATAAAAAAGGTAAATGAAACAAATAGCTGGTTCTTTGTAAAGATACACAAAATTGATAAATGATTAGGAAGATTAACCAAGAAGAGAGAAGATCCAAATAAGCTCAATTAGAAACAAAATGGGAAAGATTACAACCGATATCACAGAAATACAAAAGGTTATTCAAGGCTACTATAAACGCATTCATCCACACAAACTACAAAACCTGGTTACATTCCTGGAAATATACAACTCCCCTAGATTAAACCAGAAAGAAATAGAAACTCTGAACAGACCAATAACAAGCTGTGAGATTGAAATAATAAAAAAAAATTGCCAACAGAACAAAGTCCAGGACCAGATGGATTCACAGCTGAATTGTATCAGATATTCAAAGAATAATTGGTACCAATTCTACTGAAACTATTCCAAGAGATAGAGAAAGAGGAAATCTTCTCTAAATCTTTTTATGAAGCCACTATCACCCTAATACCAAGACCAGGAAAGGACATAACAAAAAAAGAAAACTACAGGCCAATATCTGTGATGAACATAGGTGCAAAAATCCTCAACAAAATACTAGATAACTGGATCCAACAGCATATCAAAAAGATAATCTACCATGATCAAGTGGGTTCTATACTAGAGATGAGAGGATGGTTTAACATATGGAAGCCAATAAATGTGCTACACCACATAAAAAGAATTAAAAACAAAAATCATATGATCATCTAAATAGATGCAGAAAAAACATTTGATAAAATCCAGCATCACTTTATGATTAAAACCCTCAGCAAAATCGGCATGCAAGGGACATTCCTTAAGGTCATAAAAGCTATCTATTACAAGCCCACAGCCAATATTGTACTGAACCGGAAAAAGTTGAAAGCATTCCCCTAGAAAACTGGAACAAGACAGGGATGCCCACTTTCACCACTTTTATTCAACATAGTACTGGAAATCCTAGCCAGAGCAATCAGACAAGAGAAATAAATCAAGGGCATCCAAATTGGTGAAGAGGAAGGAAAACTGTTGCTGTTTGTTGATGATATGATCATATATGCACAAACCCTAAAGACTCATCCAAAAAGCTCCTAGATTTGATAAACTAAAGCAGTAAAGTTTCAGGTCACAAAATTAATGCATACAAATTGGTAGCACTGCTATACACTAATAACAACCAAGCTGCGAATCAAATCAAGAACTCACCACCTTTTACAATAGCTGCAAAAAAAAAAAAATTCTTAGGAATATACATAACCAAAGAGGTGACAGACCTCTACAAAAGGAACTACAAATCACTGCTGAAAGAAATTATAGGTGACACAAATGGAAACACATCCCATGATCATATGTGGGTAGAATCAATATTGTGAAAATGACCATACTGCCAAAAACAATCTACAAATTCCATGTAATTCCCATCAAAATACCACCATCATTCTTCACATAACTAGAAAAAACAATCCTAAAATTCTTATGGAACCAAAAAAGAGCATGCATAGCCAAAGCAAGATGAAGCAAAAAGAACAAATCTGGGGGAATTATATTACCTGACCTCAAACTGTACTGTAAGACTATAGTCACCAAAATAGCATGGTAATGGTATAAAAATATGTACTTTGACCAATGGAACAGGATAGAGAACCCAGAAATAAAGCCAAATACTTATAGCCAACTGATTTTCAACAAAGCAAACAAAAACATAAACTGGGGAAAGGACACCCTATTTAATAAATGGTGCTGGGATAACTGGCAAGCCACATGTAGAAGAATAAAACTGGATCTTTATCTCTTACCTTATACAAAAATCAACTCAAGATGGATCAAAGACTTAAATCTAGGACCTGAAACCATAAAAAGCCTAGACGATAAGATCAGAAAAACTCTTCTAGGCATTGACTTAGGCAAAGACTTAATGATCAAGAAAAGCAAATGCAACAAAAACAAAGATAAATAGATGAGACTTAATTAAACTAAAAAGCTTCTGCACAGCAAAAGAATTAGTTGGCAGAAGAAATAGACAATCCACAGAGTGGGAGAAAATATTTGCAAACTATGCATCTGACAAAGGACTAATAACCAGAATCTAGAAGGAACTCAAACAAACAAATCAACAAGAAAAAAACAAACAATCCCATCAAAAAGTGGGTTAAGGACATGAATACACAATTCTCAAAAGAATATATACAAATGGCCAACAAACATATGAAAAAATACTCAACATCATTAGGTATCAGGAAAATGCAAATTGAAATCACAATGAGATACCACGTTACTCCTGCAAGAATTGCCATTATTTAAAAGTGAAAATAAATAAATAAATAAATGCTGCAGTGGATATGGGAAAAAGGGAACACTGAGCAAACTAACACAGAAACAAAACTACACGTTAGTACAATGTACACAATGTACAATGTACTTGGGTGATAGGTGGACTAAAATTTCAGAATTATTCAATCCTTTATTTCAACCCATTATTTCAATCCTTTTAATGGCTGAGTAGTATTCCATGGTGTGTGTGTATGTGTGTGTGTGTGTATGTGTGTGTATATATACATACCACATTTCTTTATCTACTCATTAGTCAGTGGGTACTTAGGTTGGTTTCACGTCTTGGCAATTGTGAGTTTTGCCATTATAAACATACATGTGCAAGTGTCTATTTTATATAGTGACTTATTTTCCTTTGGGTAGATACCTAGTAGTGGGATTGCTGGATCAAATGGTAGATGTACTTTTAGGTCTTTAAGGTATCTCCATACTGTTTTCCATCAAGGTCCATGTCCATGTGTTCTCATTGTTCATGGACACAGGATTGGAACATCACACACTGGGGCCTGTCAGGGGGTGGGCCACCAGGGGAGGGATAGCATTAGGAGAAATACCTAATGTAGATGGCGGGTTGATGGGTGCAGCAAACCTCCATAGCACGGTATACCTATATAACAAACCTGCACATTCTGCACATGTATCCTAGAACTTAAAGTATAATTTAAAAAAAGATATACAGATGGCAAATAAGCATATAAAAAGATGCTTCCCATCATATGTCATCAGGGAAAAGCGAATTAAAATTTATTATCTTTATTATTTATGTATTGATTTGGTAAGATATTGCTTTAAGAAAAGCTATTAGACTATAAGTGCCCCCAATATTTATGTATGTTGCCTCAATGTTCAAAGCTTATCTTTTTTTTAGCAAGTTGATCTGTGTCTTAACTTTAATTCTATGCTAATTAGAAAATCTAAGAGAATAACTAAAAGAAAGGACAATTTACTCAGTCCATCAGTGGTAGTCATGGCAGGAAATAGAATGCACAAACTAATTATTGCCAAACGCCACATGTTCCCACTCATAAATGGGAGTTGAACAATGAGAACAGATGGACACAGGGAGGGGAATATCACACACCAGGGCCTGTCGGGGGTTGGGGGGCTAGCGGAGGGATAGCATTAGGAGAAATACCTAATGTAGATGATGGGTTGATGGGTGCAGCAAACCACCATCATATGTGTATACCTATGTAAAAAACCTGCGAGTTCTGCACATGTATCCCAGAACTTAAAGTATAATAAAAAATAAAGTCATGTAGAAAATGACTGCTATGAAAGAAACAATATAACTTATAATTCAATGGTTAATGTGATAGTAAATACATGGAAACGGAATTATAGAATTATAATATAGCAGATTCTATATTCAGGTACAGTTACTCTTTTTACTTGTAAAAATGGTGTAATCAAAGGAAATATTTTTATGCTATTTTTCTTAGTTTTTCATTTTCAAAGTCCCATTCCTAAATTACTACACTTACTGTACTAAAAATTCAAAACAAAAAATTGCTATGTACACAAAATATGAAAATTATCTGTAGATAAAATAGCTAGTTCATTAAGCATCATTCCAATCATTTCAACCAGTAATGAAAATGCAATTACAATTTAATTTGTTTTAATACCACCTTGCACTTCTTGGGCTGGAAAACACCATAAGGGAAGAAATCATATGTATCCTGTCTCCAGGGTCTACAATATTATGCTATTGAAATACTCAATAAATATTTATTTAACAAAGAACATATTACAAGCATTATAGATTTTAACTACTTTCTTATTATGACACCAGTCTTATTTTTTCATTATTTAGATATCCACACAAATAATTCTTCCAGCATCCTGGTTTCTTGGTAACTTGACCTCCTTCCTTTTCTCCAAATATCTTGATCTCCATTATACCTTAGCTAACCACTCCCACAGTCACACTCTTGAATGTGTCACTACCAATTACTGCACCCATTCCATAATCTCTGTTCTAAGCTTACTGTTCTTTGACTTTTACCTCCTATCTTTCTCTTAGCTCATTACTCTCACTAATACCTCGCTCCTACTATTTTTCAACTCTCCATCCAGTACACATAACCTATTGATTCTACCATCAATACACTGTCCCTTTTCACCCTTATGTCCTCACTTGCCAAGTGACACAGCTTAAAATTCATAATATATCACTATAATAACTCCCTTTGATATATAATTTTAACCCCCTCACTTTGACTTATTCTAGTAAAATTTAACTCTCTACCGGTTCTTACAAAATGCAGGTGAACATAGCTAGAGTCAAATATACAAATGCTTCATGTTCTCACTCTATAGAATCATAATCACTTGTCACAAAAGGATTTTCAGTATCACCCCACAGCAATTGCATTACATTTGCTAATCAGTTCACTCTCCCACTTTGCCAAGCAATTCTTTTATGCATTCTCCTCTCTCTTCATACAACACTATCTCTCCTTTCTTTGCTCTCAGCTGATGACCTTGATTCCTATTTTCTTGAGAAAGTAGGGGAATAAGAAGAGAACTCTCACAGCCTCACATTTAAGTTTCACTTGCATCTGTGTTCTTTGACTATTCTTTGGGTCTTATTCAATTCACTACTATACTTCTATACTAGATTTCATTCCCTTCTTATCTATGCAAGGACATTGCTTAAGTTACATTCTCATTCCTCTCCTTCTCCTTTCTCCTCCTATATCATCATATTTTTCTCTTTGTTCTGGCTGATTTGATTAAAATATATGCATTAATATGTTTAATCTTCCTATATTAGGAAAAAATGTTCTCGCAATCTCATATTCCTCCTCTACATACTAGCTTCTTTCTCTGCTTCCAGCAGAAATCTTTGAAAAAGTAGTTGACATTTACTAATATATATATATATATATATATATATATATATATATATATATATATATTCTCATTCTTCTTTGAA
The DNA here is from genome assembly GCF_000001405.40 of Homo sapiens. NCBI lineage: Eukaryota > Metazoa > Chordata > Mammalia > Primates > Hominidae > Homo > Homo sapiens. Next base: position 33,900,803 of record NC_000012.12, read on the forward strand.
CTTACTCCAATTAGTTCTTTGTTCCCAGCATGGTGAAGAAATGACCAGTGACCTCTGCACTGATTAATCCAATGACCAATTCTCAGCTTTCATTCTACTAGACCTATCACCAGTTCATTGCTTCATTCTTCCTGATACAGTTTTTCATTTAACCTCTAGGTCATTATATTTAAATTTGTTCCTTTTTGGTTTCCATTATTGGATTCTCCTTATCTTCCCTGTCTCCATAAGAGCTTCCCAGTAGATTATTCTGCATTATGAAAATGTTCAATAGTTCAATTCTCAGATATTGTAGTTATTAGCCAGATGTGGCTATCAAGACTTGAAAAGTAACAATTGCACCAGAGGAACTGAAATTTCAACCTAATTTTAATTAATTTAAATGTTAACTTTTAGTAGCCACATCTGACTAATGCCGATCACAGCTCTGTACTATTCCAGTCATTAGGCCTTGGAGCTTCCTTATCTATACTTAGTCCCTTACAAATTACATTAATTTTCATACCTTTTAAGGGACGAAGTATAGATAAGAAAGCTCCAAGGCCTAATGACTGGAATAGTACAGAGCTGTTTTTTCACACCTTTTATGCTGGGAAAACTGGCTAGCCATATGTAGAAAGCTGAAACTGGATCTCTTCCTTAAACCTTATACAAAAATTAATTCAAGATGGATTAAAGACTTACATGTTAGACCTAAAAACCATAAAAACCCTAGAAGAAAACCTAGGCATACAATTCAGGACATAGGCATGGGCAAGGACTTCATGTCTAAAACACCAAAAGCAATGGCAACAAAAACCAAAATTGACAAATGGGATCTAATTAAACTAAAGAGCTTCTGCACAGCAAAAGAAACTACCATCAGAGTGAACAGGCAACCTACAGAATGGGAGGAAATTTTTGCAATCTACTCATCTGACACAGGGCTAATATCCAGAATCTACAAAGAACTCAAACAAATTTACAAGAAAAAAGCAAACAACCCCATCAACAAGTGGGCGAAGGATATGAACAGACACTCTCAAAAGAAGACATTTATGCAGCCAAAAGACACATGAAAAAATGCTAATCATCACTGGCCATCAGAGAAATGCAAATCAAAATCACAATGAGATACCGTCTCACACCAGTTAGAATGGCGATCATTAAAGAGTAAGGAAACAACAGATGCTGGAGAGGATGTGGAGAAATAGGAACACTTTTACACTGTTGGTGGGACTGTAAACCAGTTCAACCATTGTGGAAGACAGTGTGGCGATTCCTCAAGGATCTAGAACTAGAAATACCATTTGACCCAGCCATCCCATTACTAGGTATCTACCCAAAGGATTATAAATCATGCTGCCATAAAGGCACATGCACACGTTTGTTTATTGCGGCACTATTCACAATAGCAAAGACTTGGAACCAACCCAAATGTTCATCAATGATAGACTGGATTAAGAAAATGTGGCACATATACACCATGGAATTCTATGCAGCCATAAAAAAGGATGAGTTCATCCTTTTTTTGTGGGGACATGGTTGAAGCTGGAAACCATCATTCTCAGCAAACTATCACAAGGACAAAAAACCAAACACCACATGTTCTCACTCACAGGTGGGAATTGAACAATGAGAACACTTGGACACAGGAAGGGGAACATCACACACTGGGGCCTGTTGTAGGGTTGGGGAAGCAGGGAGGGAAGGCATTAGGAGATATACATAATGTAAATGACGAGTTAATGGGTGCAGCACACCAACATGGCACATGTATACATATGTAACAAACCTGCACGTTGTGCACATGTACCCTAGAACTTAAAGTATATATAAAAAATTTTCACACCTTTTAAACATAATCTATATGCTGATAACCCCCAATTTACATTTCCAGCTTGGACCTCTCCCCTGACCTCCAAAACCCTGCCTATTAGCTTTTCCACTTGCAAATCTAATAGGAATCATATACTTCACAAACATATCCAAAACTGATTTAGTGGTTCTGTAATCCTTCTCTTCCCGCTGTCTTCCCTATCTCTCAGTAAATTGCAACCACACCCCTCAAGATGCTTGGGCCAAGAACCCTGGAATTCTCCTTGACATCTGTCTTATTCCCATACCTTAATTACAATCCATCAGGACATCCTTTTGTTCTAGTAAAAATTAATAAGTATTCCCACACTTTTCACCACTCCCATCATCTCTTACCTAGATTATTGTAATAATCTCATAACTGGTATTTGCTTAAGCCCTTGACCCTTCCTCACCCTATATTCTCAACATAACAGCCAAAGTAATCATTAAACACAAATCAAATCCTATTACTCCTCTGATCAAAATCTCTCAATAGCTTTCATAACACTTACAATAAAAGCCAATTTCTTCAAAATAGCTTTCAAAGCTCCACACAATCTAGCCTTCCTGATACTTCTCTCTTATCTCTTACTACTCTCCTATTTACTCATATTATAGTCCATCCATGCTGGCCTCCTTAATACTTTTTAAAAACATTACGCAAAGCATTTCCACAGGGCCTTTGCACTTGTCATTTGCTCTGCCTAGAGTAATTTTTACACAGTCACGCTTATGGCTCATCTTCAGGCCTTAGAGATGTCAACAAGCCTTGCTTGTCCAATCTATTTAAATTTTCATCACTTTCTCTTTTCAAAGAGTTATCTCCTTAATTTTTTTCCTATAACATTTACCATCACTGATATATTTGTTTGCTTATTGTCCATCTTGCCTCTGGTAGAATATAAGGTATAAAGGGCATATATTACTTATATCATTTATATTACCTAATAGAGAACTTGGCAGAAGGTAAATATAACTCTGATATTTGATGTATAAACAAATTAATCAATTAATTGCTAATCAATGAAAAAATACCTAACCAAAAGAATGGCATATAAAATTATTAGGGAAACGGTTTTTGTCTAATTAATAATCTACATTTGAGCTGACTCTTTTTATGGGCTAGAGTCATAGGAAATTAATTATCTATGTCCTGCCTTCTCTAGTAGTTGCTTGATCTACTGGACAGCTCTTTTTATGTTGGGAGCTGGTTAGCTAAAACCATTTTATTCATAATAGCCAATGCACAGGGCCTTGGATCTGAAGTACATTTGTAGAGAAAGAATATTTAAACATATCACAGGGAAGAAAATATGGTTAATGAGATACCATAGATTTTACTGGAAAAATAAAGACTTCGACAAAATATTTTCATTGTTTCTTATTGGTGACTTGGTTTATAGCAAGAAACATATGGCTTCAAATCCCCCACATGCTGCTAACTAGTTAGATCTAAACGGATTGTTTTATCTCCTGAATCTGTTAGCCCTGGAAAACTGGATAATGACATCTAACTTCTGGGGTTGCTGTGGAATTAATGTCACCCTATTTATCATATAGGAGACATTCATAAATGATGCCTATTATTGTTTTAGTAGCAATGATATAATCGCTCTAAAATAATCATTTCTTTCAAGAAGCAGTGCAGGGCTTGGAGTTGCCAAGTTTATTTAATTCAGATAACAACTACTAAGTCCAACTTCTCAAGTCAATTTCCCAACATGCCAATCATTTTTGCTTGATTTACTGACCAACAATCAACATAACCCTGAGTAGCCAACCTGAAAATGTAAGCTACAGTGCTAAGTAAGAGAAGTGATCAGAATCAGATGGAGCAGAGGAAGTGTATCAAACCCAGGGCAATAGCAGCTCAGAAGTAAGCTAGCAGCAATATCATAAAGCTGATTAGACTAGTTGCTTGGAGGAGGCTGGGAAGATTGCCCAGTTTTCTAGACACAAGACAAATGTCCACAGGCAAAAGAGAATGACAGATTAAAGGTAGACCTCCGTAAGTGTAGCAGTGCCTAGGAAGCCCTAGTTAACATGAGTGCTGAATCTGGTAGGAGAGTTGCCACAACCTGTGCCCCCATTGGGCATTTCATTCAAACAGGGATCTCTGGTGAATGATTCAGAAGGTCTTGTTCTGTAAATGAGAAGAAATCTAGAGGCTTATTTAGTTACTCACTCTCTGTGACTGTTTTGACCTGGTATACTTGCTGAGCACTTACTATGTATTAATGGATGTAACCCTCACCACGATGCCATGAGTTAGGTACCATGAATATTTCCACTTTACAAATGATTAAACTAAAGCAGAGAGCCAGTGGCTAGCTCAAGATAACACAGCTTATTATGGCAGAATTGGTATTCGAACTTAGGCAGTCAGGCTCCTGGGTGGAGTAAATCTGACTCTTTCAGATTTTTAGAACAGATAGAAAAATAAGATGATTTTCCACTATGTTCAAATAAAGAAAACTGAAATACAATGAGCATCAAAATTTTTTTCAAAGTCAAATCATGTGTCTGAATTTGAAAACTGATTCCAATGTTAATGGAGAATATTTTGCCCAGAGAGTAAAACACCTTTAGAATTCCCATCCCAATAAGGTCTTAGTGCTCTGCCTTACCTCATCATTGAAGGAGAGAGGTGGCACTGAGGGATCTAGATGGTGCATTTCTGCACACAGCAATGCCTTCATGCACAGGGCCAGGCTGTCACATTTTTGGCTGCTGGCTGTAAGTTAGAAGTCACTGAAAGTGAAAGAATAAAATCATATTTAGATGTACCCTGGGAATGAGAAATAACCACTCCTGCTTCTGTTACTCCATGACCATCTCAAGAATTTTTAGGTTTTGGGAGGTGTTTTAAAAAATGTCCCTCGGTTATTTTCCATTACAGAAAAAAGTAACTTCTTGGGCAATCATACCAAATTCCATATGCTTTGTCTGAACATTTTTAGTCTGCCCAAGTGCATGTTCTAGGTGTTCTTTTATTCTTCTCCTACTTGAAATGTTATTTTGAGGATCACTGATCCAGAAAACAGTTCCTGATTAAGCTCATTTGTTAACATTATCACTAATGTACCTTAAAATTCTATGATAATGAGTATCATCACTGTACTAAAGCTCAAACTCAATCCATTATCAACTTCTATCCTGCAAAAGTACAGGACATATTTTCATAAAGAGGGTGAGTTGATATGGTTGTTTCCAGATTCTGTGATATTCTAAATTCTCTTTAGTCATTCCATTTATATATACTGAATACCTGTTATGGATCAGATACTCAGATAGAGACTAGGGATACAGGAATAAATCAAAGTACAGAGATAGAAGCATGCCAGGAAGCAGATAATCACATTATGACAAAAATCACTGCCTTGAAGAGCAAGCACATAGGAGAGCCTCCCTACTCAGATCTTGTGGAGCAAGTCAAGAAACATTTCCTGGAAGAGCTACTCTTTTTTTTTTTTTAAATCAGTCACACTTTATTTTAAAATCTATTCTCTATTTTATTTTATTTTATTATTATTATACTTTAAGTTTTAGGGTACATGTTCATCCATGTCCCTACAAAGGACATGAACTCATCATTTTTTATGGCTGCATAGTATTCCATGGTATATATGTGCCACATTTTCTTAATCCAGTCTATCATTGTTGGACATTTGGGTTGGTTCCAAGTCTTTGCTATTGTGAATAGTGCCGCAATAAACATTTATGCAGCCAAAAAACACATGAAAAAATGCTCACCATCACTGGCCATCAGAGAAATGCAAATCAAAACCACAATGAGATACCATCTCACACCAGTTAGAATGGAAATCATTAAAAAGTCCTGGAAGAGCTACTCTTTAACTTTTTATAGAAGTTTAAGATGTGTGTGGCTGTACAGGCTGACTTCATATTGATTTTTTAGATACAAATCTTAAAACAGGCAAAGGGACTTATAGTTTTCACGCCTGCCAAGGGACCAGTGATACTGAGCATACCATAAAATAATTTTTTGCCATGTAAGTAATAGAGACCAAAGCTATTCACCTAATTTTTCTATCATCTATGAAATAGAATCTACTTATACATTTATATAATGCAAAACCAGTTACTGAATGCTTATGGAGTTTAACTAACAAACGAAGCAGATACAAATATTAATAATATGTAGTTTCCATACTCAAGAAGTTTTCCGCTTAGTGGAAGGCGGTTTTAGAACAGAACAGATAGGAAAAAATAAGCCCCTAGCATATTTCAGATGTTAACAGAATAGAAGGAGCATGAAATAGGAAAACAAAGAGAAAAGAACAATGGGGGGAAATGAGTAGAAAGAAGACTTTCACTATAGCAATTTTGCTTGTATACAAAGATCAGCATGATCTAATGAAGTTGAGTTATGGACAGAGGGTTCAGATTATCATATTAAGAAGCCACAATTATCTAAGCACTGTAAAAATTAAAGGCAAGCAACCCTAGCATGCTGCAGAATCTACCAAGAAAATATCTCTGTTAATAAGATAAGCAGTGAAGCACTGAGATGAAATAGCAGTGGCAATAAGTGATGGATGGTACGAAATGGAGCATCTCTCAATGTAATGTGTATGGCTCATTGATTTTAACCAAGAGCAGTTTGAAACAGAAACCACATAAAGTATATTAAGTAGTTGGGAAAACACTGAATGTTTAAAAATAACTTCGCAATTACCATATATAGGAAAATTCAATTCTGGGATTAAAAAAAAAGTGGGATTTTTCAGGGGATCCAGAAGTGAAATTATTAGGATTCATTAGGCTAATTAGAAGAATAAAAGCCCTATTCCCATCAACTTCTATGTTTGTGTCTTCCCTGCACTCAAGAGCCTTTGTTGTGGGTCTAAACCACATTAGAAAGTCGTTGTTTTCTGGAAACTAGTCTGTAATTCTGGAAACATAGTGTAACAGACAATATTTTTTATTTGTACAGTACATTAAAACTTCCTTGATGCTCACAATAGCCATGACTGACATTATATTTTAAAAACCAAAGAATTATCAATTTTATCACCCAAGTATAATATACTAATTCCTCCTCTCAATATGATTTGGGTCATTATATAAATTAATCTTTAAAATGTTTGTTCATTTTTATCTTGAAGTCAGCTTTAAAGGATCATTCCCTAGTTTTAGACTTACTATTCAGGACTTAACTATTGCAAGAGTCAGAAGACTTGTTGGGATTGACAATTTTAAAAATAGTATAGTCAGTCTTCAGTAAAATTAATTGCAATTAATACAAGCAAGATTCTGCTTTCCTCATTTCAGTATATTTGTTTCTCTCTTGCTCTGAGAGATACCAGCCCAAGATTAGAAAAGCTACTAATGTTAATAGAGTACAAAAAAATGGTCTTCATGTAACAGTATTCCAGTGGTAGCCCTAATTATAGAGTGGCTATGACATTTTACAAAAAAAAAAAAAAAAGGGTGCTGACTTATTCAGATGTCAAAGTATCTAGTTCTTAATTAAACAGGACTAAATTATTTGCTGAGAGCCTATTGAATTGCATACGACTCACTGTGGATAATTTATTGGAAGGGATAAGGATGTAGAAGGAGCCAGAATAAGTAATCCTCACTTTATTCAAAACCTAGAGTTAATTTCCACCCTCTGAAGGACATACTATGTCACTTACCTCAACTGAAAAAAAACGTTAACATAGTAAGCATTGGGAACCTAATAAATATTAGATGTTGCTCAAACACTTACACCATTCTCTTTTTTCCAGTTATTATTCTTTTGATTATAAATATTTGTAGTGTACCTTGCTTTAAATTGCATACATTCACATACACATTCAAGTCAAGAATGCAAGAACATTAGATCTCATGCATAACAGTACAAAAGGCAAGTGTTTTTAAAAGCTGTTTAATTATCACTTATGATCTAGCTATCATTATGCCTTTCTTTTGCACATTCCTTTGTGCCAGCTGAACAGAAATCTTCCCTGCTTTTCTGTGTGCCACCCTTTCCTACTTTTTGGTTGCTTTGTGGTCTCAGTCTGACATTCCCTCTTCCGTCTTTGACCTATACAAATTTTCTCTGCTCTTTAACTCCTAGAATGATTCCATTTTATCGTGGAGCTTTTGTCATAGCCTCTACCATAGTGAAAATATTTTTTAGAGAAAATAAGAATGATATACATAACAACTGGAAAATAGTACAAGACAGCCTTTTTTGCCACCTCTCCTGCAACATTTTCTGTTCCTCAATTAAAAAAAAAAAAGAGTCTGGGTGCTCCTGTATTGGGTACATATATATTTAGGATAGTTAGCTCTTCTTGTTGAATTGGTCCCTTTAGCAGTATGTAATGCCCTTCTTTGTCTTTTTTGATCTTTGTAGGCTTAAAGTCTCTTTTGTCGAGACTAGGATTGCAACCCCTGCTTTTCTTTGTTTTCCATTTGCTTGCTACAAAGGAATGTGCAAAAGAAACCAAGAAGTATGGGTGGAAATGTAGGTTAAAGTAAGGTTGTGGAGGGTCTTGATTTCTATATTAAGAAGCATAAACTTATCGGCATGAAATAAAATTTTACAAGAAGGAATGGTATAATGCTTTAGTGAGGGACCAACAATAGCTTTGTGTTTAACTTCCCTGTTCTGAGAAGCTTAGCAAAAAACAAATTCAGATATTTTTTTTCCCCTGGAAATTCTATGAAAGTTCTACTTTATATTCACCATACTAAGCCAAGAGTTCTAGAAGTTGTCTTCAAATAAATGTGTTAAAGTCCTTTAGTTCTTACATAGCTAGTACCCCTTAAACAATCTGGTCATAAAAATTGCCCCTCGATCTGAAAATATATCATTTAATTCAACAATGCCATCTCTATTTATTTTATCGAAGCTAGTGTTTCTCAGTGTGATCACAGGACTCCTGGAGGTCTCAAAGAGTTTTATTGGGAATCGGTGAGGCGAAAACTATTTTCATGATAATACTGAGATGCCATTTGCCTTTTGTTCTGTGTTGACATTGGCACTAATGGTAAAAAGCAGTGATGCACATAATAGATAGAATTGATGACATCTTAATCAGTAATTAAGTCATTGGCATCAAACTGTATTGGCAGTCATTGTATTCACACTCACACAAGGGCAGGGTTTTTTTTCCTTAATAATAACTTTTAAGAGGAAAAAGTGGTCTTGACAAAAAAGTTTGAAAGCACTAATGCAAAAAAGTAATGATGTAGGTGTAGAAAGTAAGAACAACAAAAAAAAAGAAAACAATCTGAACATCCATCCATAAAGGCTTCATTACATAAATTATGGCATACCCAAATAACAGAACACTGGAATCACTTCAAAGCATGAAGAATTTCTCTGAGTATAGATGTTTAAATGTGTTCACAATATATTTTAATTGCAAAATCACAGACCAAAGAACAATATATGTAGTACAATGGCATTTATCCATATATGTAGTACAATGACATTTATCCATATATGTATACAAAATTATACATAGAAATACTTGAAAATCAAATGGTATCTGATTATATTAATGAATTACATGTAGAAAATAATTTTATTCACTTCCATTTGGGTTTTTCTGGTGTGTTTTTTAAACTTTTTTAACTCTAATTTTAGGTTTTGGGGTACATGTGCAGGTTTGTTATATAGATAAATTGCATGTCACAGAGGTTTGGTACACAGATTTTTTTCACCCAGAAAATAAGCATAGTACCCAATAGACAGTTTTTCAGCCTTCAGTCTCCTTCCACCCTCCACATTCAAGTAATCCCTGATGTTGTTGTTCCCTTCTTTGTGTCCATATGTGTTCAATATTTAGTTCCCACTTAAAAGTGAGAACATGCAGTATTTGGTATTATCTTCTTGTGTTACTTCACTTAGGATAATGCCCGCCAGCTCCGTCTATGTTACTGAAAAGGACATGATTTAATTCTATAAAAAATAATTTTAAATGGATATAAGAATTTAAATAAGAATGCCCATCGCAGTGTTATTTATCATTGTGAAAAATTGCAAAACTAATTATAATATTTTATAACATAAATCATAGTATATCTGTCTATTCAAGGAAATACTTTACAACTATTAAATAAGGTTATAGAAGGATACATTGTCATAAGGAAATATGTTTATAATTCATGGTTTAGTAAAACAATTAAAATAGAACATATTTCTGAAAAAACTCATATACATATATAAATATTAATAGCTTTATGTCTGCTTAATTGTATTGTCAGTGATTTTTATTTTCTTATTATCTGCTTTCTGATTTTTTTACTTAGTAATCTTTGTTAATTGGTAAATGATCCTATGCTACCAAATACCAAATTGAATAACACTTCAGAAGAAGAAGAAAGGTTCTGAGAATAATATAGAATATTGTGTTTTTGGTTGTAGGAAGATTTAAGAGATTACCTTATTTTTATTTCATTGTCATTATATTTGTGCTGTGGCTTTGTAGTTACCATATAGTTTCACATGTATTGCCTAATCCTCAAAACTCCTCTCTATCTGTAGAAATACCTGTGTACAGCAGGTATTTTTATCATTATTTTTTATATAAGAAAATTGGGCATGTGTTTTATGTTATGATTTGCCTTCTGTCACTAGGCATGTACGTTATAACATATGCTGCCTCCAAATTCAGGGCTCTTTCTAATACATCATGATATTTAACAGGAAATTTGTTCATGTGACATTTGAGAAAGAAGATATTACATCTAATTGTTATTATTATTCATAGGTGCTGAAAATTGCACATAGACTTTTTTTAGTGAAAGAATTTTAACTTTTATTTTAGGTGCAGGATTTCATGTGCAGGTTATATAGGTAAACTTGTGTCATGGGGGTTTGGTGTACAGACTGTTTCATCACCCAGGTACTAAGTTTAGTACCAGATAGTTTTTTTTTTCCTTATGCTCTCCTTCCTCCCATCCTCCACCCTCAAATAGGCCCCAGTATCTGTTGTTCCCTTTTTTGTGTCACTATGTCCTTATTATTTAGCTCCCATTTGTAAGTGAGAACATGTGGTATTTGGTTTCTGTTCCTGTGTTCATTTACTAAGGATAATGGCCTCTAGCTTCATCTATGTTCCTGCAAAAGACATAATCTTGCTCTTTTTTGTGGCTGCATAGTATTCCATGGAGTATATGTACATATTTTCATTATCCAGTCTACCATTGATGAGCATTTAGGTTGGCTCCATGTCTTTGTTATTGTGAATAGTGCTGCAATGAACATACATATTAATATGTCTTTAGGAATGATTTATATTCCTTTGGGTATATATCCAGTATTGAGATTGCTGTATTAAGTGGTAGTTTTGTTTTTAGGTATTGGAGGAATTGTCATGCTTCTTTCCACAATGGTTGAACTAATTTACACTCCAACCAATAGTGTATAAGTGTTTACTTTTTTTGGCAACCTCGCTAGTATCTGTTGTTTTTTGACTTTTAATAGTAGCCATTCTGACTCATGTGAAATGGTATCTCATGGTGGCTTTAACTTGCATTTCTCTAATGAGCAGTGATACTGAGCTTTTTTCATGTTTCCTGCCCACATATGTTTTCTTTTATAAAGTATCTGTTCATGTTCTTTATTCATTTTTTAATTTTTTTGCTTATAAATTTGTTTGTTAGACTTTTGTCAGATTCATAATTTGCAAGTATTTTCTCCCATTCTAGAGACTGTTTACTCTGTTGATAGTTTCTTTTGCTTTGCAAAAGCTCTTTAGTTTAATTAGATCCCATTTGTCATTTTTGCTTTTGTTGCAATTGCTTGTGGTGTTTTTGACGTGAAATCATTGCCATTTTCTATGTCCAGAACAGTATTTCTTAGGTTGTATCCCAAAAGTTTTATACATTTGGGTTTTACATTTAAGTCTTTAATCCATCTTGAGTTGATTTTTGTACATGGTGTAAGGAAAGGAAACTTTCTCTTTTTTTTATTTATACTTTACTTTCTAGGGTACATGTGCACAACAGGCTGGTTTGATACATAGGTATACATGTGCCATGTCAGTTTGCTGCACCCATCGACTCATCATTTACATTAGGTATTTCTCCTAATGCTATCCCTCCACCAGGCCGCCACCCCCCGACAGGCCCCAGTGTGTGATGTTCCCCTCCCTGTGTTCAAGTGACCTCATTGTTCAGTTCCCACCTATGAGCCAGAACATGCAGTGTTTGGTTTTCTGTCCTTGTTATAGTTTGCTGAGAATGATGGTTTCCAGCTTCATCCATGTCCCTGCAAACATATGAACTCATCCTTTTTAACGGCTCCATAGTATTCCATGGTGTATATGTGCACATTTTCTTTATCCAGTCTATCATAGATGGACATTTGGGTTGGTTCCAAGTCTTTGCTATTGTGAATAGTGCCACAATAAACATATGTGTGCGTGTGTCTTTATAGTAGCATGATTTATAATCCTTTGTGTATATACCCAGGATTGCTGGGTCAAATGGTAATTCTAGTTCTATATCCTTGAGGAATTGCCACACTGTCTTCCACAATGGTTGAACTAATTTACACTCCCACCAACAGTGTAAAAGCATTCCTATTTCTCCACATCCTTAAGGAAAGAAAACTTTCAAATGCAGAACTTTCAATCTTCTGCATAAGACTAGCAAGTTATCCTAGCACCATTTATTGAATAAAATGTCCTTTTCCCATTGCCAGTTTTGCCAAAAATCAGATTGCTGTAGGTAGGAGACCTTTTTTTGGGGCTCTCCATTCTGTTCCATGGGTCTGTGTGTCTGCTTTTGTTCCAGTACAATGCTATTTTGATTACTGTAGCCCCTTAGTATAGTTTGAAGTCGAGTGGCATGATGTCTCCAGATTTGTTCTCTTTGCTTAGAATTGCCTTGGCTATTTGGGCTCTTGATTACATGAATTTTAAAATAGTTTTTTTTTCTAATACTGTAAAGAATGAATGTCATTGGTAGTTTGATAGGAATAGCAATTTAATCTGTAAATTGCTTTTGGCAGTACGACCATTTTAACGATATTGATTCTCCCTATCCATGAGCATGGAATATTTTTCCATTTGTTTACATTATCTCTGATTTCCCTGAGCAGTGTTTTATGGTTCTCATTGTAGAGATCTTTCACCTTTCTTGTAGCTATAGTTCTAAGCATTTTATTTTATTTGTGGCAATTGTAAATGAGATTGCATTTCTGATTTGGCTCATGGCTAGGCTGTTGTTTGTATATAGAAATGTGAAAATTTTTGTACATTGATATTGCATCTGAAACTTTGCTGAAGTTGTTTATCTGCTTAAGGAGCTGTTGGGCAGAGACTATGGGGTTTTCTAGATGTAGAATCATGTCATCAGCAAATAGGAATATTTCGACTTCCTCTCTTCCTATTTGGGTGCCCTTTATTTCTTTCTCTTGCCTGATTGCTCTGGCCAGGACTTTCGATAGTATTAAAATATGTCAAACAGAAGGAGAGGGCATCCTTGTCTTGTGCTGGTTTTCAAGGAGAATGCTTCTAGCTTTTGCCCATTCAGTATAATGTTGGCCATGGGTTTTTCATAGATGACCCTTTTAATCATGAGGTACATTCCTTTAATACCTAGTTTGTTGAGAGTTTTTAACATTTTGAATTTTATCAAAAGACTTTCCTGCATCTATTGATATAATCATGTGGTTTTTGTCTTTAGTTCTCTTTATGTGATGAATCACATTTATTGATTTGTGTATGTTGAAGCAACCTTACATTGCAGGGATAAAACCTACTTGATTGTGGTGGATTAGCTTTTTAATGTGCTGCTGGATTTGATTTTCTAGTACATTTTTTAGGATTTTTGCATCAATGTTCATCAAGGGTATTGCCCTGAAGTTTTTTGTTGTTGTTGCTGTGTCTCTGACAGGTTTTGGTATCAGGATGATGTTAGACTCATAGAATGAGTTGGGGGGATTCCCTCCTTCTCAAATTTTTGGAATAGTTTCAGTAGGAATGTTACCAGCTCTTCTTTGTTCATCTGGTAGAATTCAGCTGTAAGTCCATCTGGTTCTAGGCTTCTTTTGGTTGGTAGACTATTTATTACTGATTCAATTTTAGAACTTGTATTGGTCTGTTTAGGATTCATTTTTCTTCCTGGATCAGTTTTGAGAGTGAGTGTTTCCAGGTGTGTATCCTTTTCTTCTAGATTTTCTCATTTGTGTGCATAGAGGTGTTTATAGTAGTCTCTGATAGTTAGTGGTATTTCTGTGGAGTCAGTGGTACCATTCCTTTTGTTGTTTCTAATTATGTTTATTTGGATCTTTTCTCTTTTATTCTTTATTAGTCTAGCTAGGGCTTTAATTACCTTATTAATATTTTCTTATTTTATATTATACTTTACGTTCTAAGGTACATGTGCACAACTTGCAGGTTTGTTAAATAGGTATACATGTGCCATGTTGGTTTGCTGCGCCTGTCAACTCATCATTTACATTAGGTTTTTCTCCTAACACTATCCCTCCCCCAGTCATTTACATTAGGTATTTCTCCTAACGCTAGCCCCCCCACCCCTTGACAGGCCCCAGTATGTGATGTTCCCCTCCCTGTGTCCGTGTGTTCTCATTGTTCACCTCCCACTTATGAGTGAGAACATGTGGTGTTTGGTTTTCTGTCCTTGTGATATTTTGCTGAGAATGTATATGTGTCACTTTTTTTTTTTCATCCAGCCTATTATTGATGGACATTTGCGTTAGTTCTAAGTCTTTGATATTGTGAATAGTGCCGCAGTAAACATACGTGTGCATGTGTCTTTATAGTAGCATGATTTATAATCCTTTGGGTATATACCCAGTAATGGGACTGCTGGGTCAAATGGTATTTCTAGTTCTAGATACTTGAAGAATTGCCACACTGTCTTCCACAGTGGTTAAACTAATTTAGACTCCCAACAACAGTGTAAAAGCGTTCCCATTTCTCCACATCCTCTGCAGCATCTGTTGTTTCCTGACTTTTTAATGATCACTATTCTAACTGGCACGAGATAGTATCTCATTGCGGTTTTGATTTGCATTTCTCTGAGGACAAGTGATGATGAGCGTTTTTTCATATGTCTCTTGGCTGCATACATGTCTTCTTTTGAGACGTGTCTGTTCATACCCTTTGTTCACTTTTTGATGGTTTTTTTTTTCTTGTAAATTTGCTTAAGTTCTTTGTAGATTCTGGATATTAGCCCATTGTCAGATGGATAGATTGCAAATATTTTCTCCCATTCTGTAGGTTCCCCTTTCACTCTGATGGTAGTTTCTTTTGCTATGCAGAAGCTCTTTAGTTTAATTAGATCCCATTTGTCTATTTTGGTTTTTCTTGCCATTGCTTTTGGTGTTTTAGTCATGAAGTCTTTGCCCATGCCTATGTCCTAAATGGTATTGCCTAGGTTTTCTTCTAGGGTTTTTATGGTTTTAGGTCTTACATTTAAGACTTTAATCCATCTTGAGTTAATTTTTATATAAGGTGTAAGGAAGGGACCCAGTTTCAGCTTTCTACATATGGCAAGCCAATTTACCGAAGACCATTTATTAAATAGAGAATCCTTTCCCCATTGCTTGTTTTTGTCAGGTTTGTCAAAGATCAGATGGTTGTAGATATGTGATGTTATTTCTGAGCCCTCTGTTCTGTTCCATTGGTCTATATACCTGTTTTTGTACCAGTACTGTGCTGTTTTGGTTACTGTAGACTTGTACTATTATAGTTTGAAGTCAGGTAGCCTGATGTCTCCAGCTTTGTTCTTTTTGCTTAGGATTGTCTTTGCTATGCGGGCTCTTTTTGGTTCCATATGAAATTTAAAGTAGTTTTTTTCCAATTCTGTGAAGAAAGTCTTTGGTAGCTTGATGGGGATAGCCTTGAATCTATAAATTACCGTGGGCAGTATGGCCATTTTCACGATATTGATTCTTCCTTTCCATGAGCATGGAATGTTCTTCCATTTGTTTGCGTCCTCTTTTATTTCATTGAGCAGTGGTTTGTAGTTCTCCTTGAAGAGGCCTTTCACATCCTTTGTAAGTTGGATTCCTAGGATTTTATTCTTTATGTAGTAATTGTGAATGGGAGTTCACTCATGATTTGGCTCTCTGTTTGCCTGTTATTAGTGTATAGGAATGCTTGTGATTTTTGCACGTTGATTTTGTATCTTGAGAGTTTACTGAAGTTGCTTATCAGCTTAAGGAGATTTTTGGCTGGGACTATGGGATTTTCTAAATATGCAATCATGTCATCTGCAAACAGAGACAATTTGACTTCCTCTTTTCCCAGTTGAATACCCTTTATTTCTTTCTCTTGCCTGATTGCTCTGGCCAGAACTTCCAGTACTGCGTTGAATAGGAGTGGTGAGAGATGGCATCCTTGTCTTCTGCCAGTTTTCGAAAGGAATGCTTCCAGTTTTTGCCCATTCGGCATGATATGGGCTGTGGATTTGTCATAAATAGCTCTTATTATTTTGAGATACGTTCCATCAATACCTAGTTTATTGAGAGTATTTAGCATGAAGCACTGTTGAATTTTATCAAAGGTCTTTTCTGCATCTACTGAGATAATCATGTGGCTTTTGTCATTGGTTCTGTTTATGTGATGGGTTACATTTATTGATTTGCATATGTTGAACCACGCTTGCATCCCAGGCATGAAGCTGACTTAATAGTGGTGGATAAGCTTTTTGATGTGCTGCTGGATTCAGTTTGCCAGTATTTTATTGATGATTTTGCATCAATGTTCATCAGGGATATTGGCCTAACATTCTCTTTTTTTGTTGTGTCTCTGTCAGGCTTTAGTATTAGGATGATGCTGGCCCCATAAAATGAGTTAGGGAAGATTTCCTCTTTTTCTATTGATTGGAATAGTTTCAGAAGGCATGGTACCAGCTCCTCTTTGTACCTCTGGTAGAATTTGGCTGTGAATCTGTTGGTCCTGGGTGTTTTTTGCTTGGTAGGCTATTAATTATTGCCTCAATTTCAGGATCTGTTATTGGTCTACTCAGAGATTCAAATTCTTCCTTGTTTAGTCTTGGGAGGGTATATGTGTCCAGGAATTTATCCATTTCTTCTAGATTTTCAGGTTTATTTGCATAGAGGTGTTCATAGTATTCTCCGATGGTAGTTTGTATTTCTGTGGGATTGGTTGTGATATCCCCTTTATCATTTTTTATTGTGTCTATTTGATTCTTCTCTCTTTTCTTATTAGTCTTGCTAGTGGTCTATCTATTTTCTTGATCTTTTCAAAAAATCAGCTCTTGGATTCGTTGATTTTTGAAGGGTGTTTTGTGTCTCTATCTCCTCCAGTTCTGCTCTGATCCTAGTTATTTCTTGTCTTCTGCTAGCTTTTGAATTTGTTTGCTCGTGCTTCTCTAGTTCTTTTAATTGTGATGTTAGGGTGTTGATTTTAGATCTTTCCTGCTTTTTCATGTTGGCATTGAGTGCTATAAATTTCCCTCTACACACTGTTTTAAATGTGTCCCAGAGATTCTTGTACATTGTGTCTTTGTTCCCATTTGTTTCAAAGAACATCTTTATTTCTGCCTTCATTTTGTTATTTACCCAGTAGGAAGCAATTGTTCAGTTTCCAAGTAGTTCTGTGGTTTTGAGTGAGTTTCTTAATCCTGAGTTCTAATTTGATAGCACTGTGGTCTGAGAGACTGTTTGTTGTGATTTCTGTTCTTCTACATTTGCTGAGGAGTGTTTCACTTCCAATGATGTGGTCAATTTTAGAATAAGTGCAATGTGGTGCTGAGAAGAACGTATATTCTGTTGATTTGGGGTGGAGAGTTCTGTAGATGTCTATTAGGTCCGCTTGGTCCAGAGCTGAGTTCAAGTCTTGGATATCCTTGTTCACTTTCTGTCTCATTGATCTGTCTAATATTGACAGTGGGGTGTTATAGTTTCCCATTATTATTGTGTTGGAGTCTAAGTCTCTTTGTAGGTCTCTAAGAACTTGTTTTATGAATCTGGGTGCTGCTGTATTGGGTGCATACATATTTAGGATAGTTAGCTCTTCTTGTTGCATTGATCCCTTTACCATTATGTAATGGCCTTCTTTGTCTCTTTTGATCTTTGTTGGTTTAAAGTCTGTTTTATCAGAGACTAGGATTGCATCTCCTGCTTATTTTTTGCTCTCCATTTTCTAGACAGATCTTCCTCCATCTCTTTATTTTGAGCCTATATGTGTCTTTGCATGTGAGATGTGTCTCCTGAATACAGCACACTGATGGGTCTTGACTCTTTATCCAATTTGCCAGTCTGTGTTTTTTAATTGGGGCATTTAGCCCATTTACATTAAAAGTTAATATTTTATGTGTGAATTTGATCCTGTCCTTATGATGCTAGCTGGTTATTTCACCCGTTAATTGATGCAGTTTCTTCATAGTGTCGATGGTCTTTACACTTTGCATGTTTTTGCAGTGGCTGGTACCAGTTGTTCCTTTCCATATTTAGTGCTTCCTTCAGGAGATCTTGTAAGGCAGGCCTGGTGGTGACAAAATCTCTCAGTATTTGCTTGTCTGTAAAGGATTTTATTTCTCCTTCACTTATGAAGCTTAGTTTGGCTGGATATGAAATTCTGGGTTGAAAATTCTTTTCTTTAAGAAAGTTGAATATTGGCCCCCACTCTCCTCTGACTTGTAGGGTTTCCGCTGAGACATCCACTGTTAGTCTGATGGGCTTCCCTTTGTGGGTAACCCGACCTTTCTCTCTGGCTGCCCTTAACATTTTTTCCTTCATTTCAACCTTGGTGAATCTGACAATTATGTGTCTTGGGGTTGCCCTTCTCGAGGAGTATCTTTGTGGTGTTCTCCATATTTCCTGAATTTGGATGTTGGCCTGCCTTGCTCGGTTGAGGAAGTTCTCCTGGATAATATCCTGAAGAGTGTTTTCTAACTTGGTTCCATTCTCCCCGTCACTTTCAGGTACACCAATCAAACATAGATTTGGTCTTTTCATCTAGTCCCATATTTCTTGGAGGCTTGGTTCATTTCTTTTCACTCTCTTTTCTCTAATCTTGTTTCTCACTTATTTCATTAATTTGATCTTCAATCACTGATATCCTTTCTTCCGCTTGATCCAATGGGCTATTGAAGCCTGTGTATGCTTCATGAAGTTCTTGTTCTGTGGGTTTCAGCTCCATCAGGTCATTTAAGCTTTTCTCTGTGCTGGTGTTTCTAGTTAGCCATTTCTCTAACCTTTTTTCAAGGTTTTTAGCTTCCTTGCGATGGGTCAGAAAATGCTCCTTTAGCTCAGAGAAGTTTGTTATTACCGACCTTCTGAAGCCTATTTCTGTCAACTCGTCAAACTCATTCTCTGTTCAGTTGTGTTCCCTTGCTGGCGAGGAATTGTGTTCTTTTGGAGGGGAAGAGGTGTTCTGATTTTTGGAATTTTCAGCCTTTCTGCTCTGGTTTCTCCCCATCGTTGTGGTTTTATCTACCTTTGGTCTTTGATGTTGGTGACATACAGATGGGGTTTTGGTGTGGATGTCCTTTTTGTTGATGTTGATTCTATTGCTTTCTGTTTGTTAGTTTTCCTTCTAACAGACAGGCCTCTCAGCTGCAGATCTGTTGGAGTTTGCTGGAGGTCCACTCCAGAACCTGTTTGCCTGGGTATCACCAGTGGAGGCTGCAGAACAGCAAATATTGCTGCCTGATCCTTCCTCTGGAAGCTTCATCCCAGAGGGGCACCTACCTGTATGAGGTGTCTGTTGGCCCCCACTGTGAGATGTCTCCCAGTCAGACTACATGGGAGTCAGGGACCCACTTGGGGAGGCAGGCTGTCCACTATTGGAGCTCGAATGCCATGCTGGGAGAACCACTGCTCCCTTCAGAGCTGTCAGGCAGGGATGTTGATGTCTACAGAGGCTGTCTGCTGCCTTTTGTTCAGATATGCCCTGCCCCAAGAAGTGAAATCTAGAGAGGCAGTAGGCCTTGCTGAGCTGCAGTGGGCTCTGCCCAGTTTGAGATTTCCTGCCACTTTGTTTACACTGTGAGCATAGAATGGCCTACTCAAGCCTCAGCAATGGTGGACGCCCCTCCCCCTGCCAAGCTCCAGCTTCCCAGGTCAATCTCAGACTGCTGCGCTAGCAGTGAGCAAGGCTCCATGGGCGTGGGACCTGCTGAGCCAGGCACGGGAGGGAATCTCCTGGTCTGCCAGTTGCAAAGACCATGGGAAAAGTGCAGTATTTGGGTAGGAGTTTACCGTTCCTCCAGGTACAGTCACTCATGGCTTCCCTTGGCTAGGAAAGGGAAATCCTAGCCCTTGCACCTTCCAGGTGAGGTGATGCTGTGCCCTGCTTCGGCTTGCCCTTCATGGGCTGTACCCAGGGTCCAACCAGTCTCAATGAGATGAACCAGGTACCTCAGTTGGAAATGCAGAAATCACCCATCTTCTGCATTGATCTTGCTGGGAGCTGTAGACTGGATCTGTTCCTATTCAGCCATCTTGGAAGCACCAACCCCACCTTATTAATATTTTTAAAACACCAACTTCTAGTATTGCTGATCTTTTGAATGTTTTTTTTTGTGTCTCAGTCATCTTCAGTTCAACTCTGATTTTGTTTATTTTTTGTCTTCTGCTATCTTTGTGGTTGGTTTGCTCTTGCTTCTCTAGTTCTTGTAGTTGTGATGGTAGGTCATTAATTGGAGATCTTCCTAAGTTTTTGATGTGGGCATTTAGTGCTATAAATTTCCCCCTTAACACTGCCTTATTTGTGTTCCAGTGATTCTGATACATTGTATCTTTGTCCTCATTAGTTTCAAATAACTTCTTGATTTCTGCCTTAATTTTGTTATTTACCCAAAAGTTATTCAGGAGCAGGTTGTTAATTTCTATCTATTCTTATGGTTTGGGGCCATTTTCTTAGTCTTGATTTCTATTTTTTTTTTTTGGACTGTGGTCTGAAAGTGTGACTGATATAATTTTGTGGGGTTTTATGCATTTGCTGAGTGTCGTTTTATGTTCGATCCTGTGGTCAGTTTTAGAGTATGTGCCATGTGGTGATAAGAAGAAGGTATATTCTGTTGTTTGGGGGTGGAGATTTTTGTAAATGTCTGTTAGATCCATTTATTCCAGTGTGGAGTTGAAGTCCTGAATATCTTTGTTAATTTTCTGGTTCAATGATCTGTCTAATACTGTCAGTGGTGTGTTGAAGTTGCCCACTATTATTATGTGGTAGTCTAGTTCTCTTTGTAGGCCTCTAAGAACTTGCTTTAAGAATCTGGGTGCTCCTGTGTTGGGGGCATGTGTACTTAAGACAGTTAGGTCTTCTTTTTGAATTGAACCTTTTACCATGATGTAATGCCCTTTTATGTCTTTTTTGATGTTTGTTGGTTTAAAGTCTGTTTTGTCTGAAATTAGGATTGCCACTTCTGCTTTTTTTCTGATTTCTATTTGCTTGATAAATTTTCCTCCATCTGTTTTTCCTTTTGAGTCTATAGGTGTCATTGCATGTGAGATGGGTCTCTTGAAGACAGCATACCATTGAGTCTTGCTTTTTTATCCAGCTTACCACTCTGTGCCTTTTAATTTTGGCATTTAGCCCATTTACATTCAAGGTTAGTTTGGTGTGGATTTTATCCTATTATTTTGTTGTTAGCTGGTTATTATGCAGGTTTGTTTATGTGGTTGTTTTATAGTGTCACTGGTCTGTGTACTTAACTGTCTTTTTTTGGGGGTCTGGTAATAGTCTTTTCTTTCCATATTTAGTGCTTCTTTCAAAAACTCTTATAAGATAGGTCTGGTGGTAATAAATTCCTTTAGCATTTGCCTGTCTGAAAAGGATCTTATTGCTCCTTCACTTAGGAAGCTTAGTTTGGCTGGATATGAAATTCTTAAATGAAGGTTTTTTTTTTTTTTCTCTAAGAATGTAGAATGTAGGCCCCCAGTCTCTTCTGGCTTGTAGGGTTCCTGCTGAAAGGTCCACTGTTAATTTGATGGAATTCTACTTGTAGGTGATCTGCCTTTTCTCTCTAGCTACCTTTAACATTCTTTCATTTCAACTTTGGAAAATTGGATAATTATGTGTTTTGGGGGTGATCTTGTGTAGAATCTTACAGGGATTTTCTGTATTTCTTGAATTTGATTGATGGCCATTCTAGAGAGATTGGGGAAGTTATCATGGACAATATCCTAAAATATATGTTCCAAGTTGCTTACTTTCTCCCCATCTTTTTCAGGGATGCCACTGATTCATATATTTGCCCTTCTTATATAATTCCATACTTATCAGAGGTTTTATTCATTCCTTTTTATTCTTTTCTCTTTATTTTTGTCTGATTGTGTTATTTCAGAGAACTAGTTTTCAAGCTCTGAGATTCTTTCCTCAGCTTGGTCTATTTTGCTATTAATACTTGTGATTGCATTGTGAAATACTTGTGTGTTTTTCAGCAATATTAGGACAGTTAGGTTTTTTCTTATACTGGCTATTTCATCAGTCAGCTCCTGTATCATTTTATTATATTCTTAGTTTCCTTGGGTTGGGTTTTACCATGCTCCTGAATCTGATGATCTTCATTCCTATCCATATTGTGAATTCTATATCAATCATTTCAGCCATCTCAGCCCTGTTAAGAAGCCCTGTTTGAGAACTAGTGTGGTCAGTTGGATGACATAAGACACTGGAGATCTGAGTTGCCAATGTTCTTGTGTTAGTTCTTTCTCATCTCTTTGTTTGGGTGTTTCTCCAACTGTGATGTAGGGTAAGTACAGTCAGCAGACTTCTTTTCTGGATGTTTTCACAGGGCCTAGGCACTGTTCAGGGTCTAAAAGTATGGAACATTTCACAGATTTGTGTGACATCCTTGTGCAGAGGTCATGCTCTTCTTCTCTGTATCATTCCAATTTTAGTATATGTGCTGCTTATGCAAGCACTATAGACTTTCATTTGTTTGAATTTTTACGTTTAACATGGTCAATTAATAAAAATATGCATAATTAACAAAGTAATGTAGTGATTTGTTTGGCAGAAGAAAGAATCCCTTGAGGACAAATCAAGCCTCATCTTGTAATTATTCATTCAACCTGATGAAATCCGTAGAGTAGCCTCTTTTCTTTTTGCTTACATAGTTCTTTAAGCTGTTCCTCACAGTCGGATAAAGTTTTTAAAGCAGTTCAGCTCTTCATTTTATCTCAAGTGCCTTCTCATTAATACCCACAGAGGGACAAGACAGTAATGTTAAAACACCCAGAAAGAAGAATAAGTTCAAGAGACAATTACATCCACAACATCTCCTCTTTACTAGTGACTTTATTTCACAAAATTATAGTTTTGGAAGAGCACTAGAGGATATCTTGTTAAGCCTTAAAAATCTGTCATAAGTGGTCTCTATATCCTCTCTAAAAATCTCCATTAAGCAAAAAGGAATGTCTTTTCTCCCAAGATGACTCATTCTAATTTCTGACATGCTCGAATATTATTTATTTTATACTGAGGCAATTATCTACTTCCTTTTGATATCTACACATTAGCCTATTTTTAGTCTGTTTCCTTCTTTTAATCCCCCCTAAAGTTTGCTTTCCTGAGCTGCAGCCATTTTCTCCAATGCCTCAATCTCTCCCTTCCATTTTAAAGCACTGCAGACTTACTTTTTTTATTGATTTCAGTCATTAGGCTTCCCTCCCATTACTCCTCATCAAGGGCCACCCTGACTTTCTTAGAAACAAAATTTGAAAGCAGCTAATTCTGAGAAGGCTCATGGATAAAATCAGCAGTAAGACAACCAGCTGCCCATGGCAGGAGGAATCCAGCCACCCTGCTGCTCTAGCACAGCTCTCGGCTTTAACAAGAAATCAAAATGCCTCCTGGGAAAGTATGAAAAAATGTTTATTTCACTACCAAAATGTTGTCACCTTTGCCATGAAACAAAAAATCAAAAGAAAAGTTATGTTTGCATAGATGCAACCCAAACTGAAAGCTAGAATAAAATGGATTATATTTTTCCAAAGTGTAAGAAAATGTCTTTCTCTCTTGACCCACTCACACATTTTGGAATTTATTCCAAGAACATAATCTAAAATATCTCCCAAAGATTTTCATAGCAAGTTGTTCACCACTGTTACTTATAATAGCAAAATCTTGGGAAATAAACTAAATGTCTTTAATTTGGTAATGCCAGAATGTTATCAAAATCTATATATGAGATATCTAAAATAGTCAAACCATAAAAGCAGAGATTAGAATGGTGGTTAGCAAGGCATGAGGAGAGGAGGATGTAGGGAGTTGTTTAATGGTTATAAAAATTCAGTTATACAAGGTAAATAAGTTCTTCTGGAGATCATAGAAATATCCTGTACAACATAGTATCTATGGTTAACATACTGTATTGTGCACTTAAAAATTTGTTGAGAGAGTAGATCTCATGTTAAGTGTTCTTATCACAATCACACACACACATATACACACATACAATACCAAATGTACACGAGGAAACTTTTGGGAATGATGAATATTTTTATTACCTTGATTGTGATAATGGTTTCACAGTGTTCATGGTGGGTAATATATGCAAACCTACCCCCAGAGCAGACATATGCCTTCCTCTTGGAAGCTGAGGGAGCCGAGAGGATACTGTGGACCTTACAGAAGTATCTTCATGAGGGGTTACCTGTGCACCAGGGATTGTTTAATGGCCTTACTGCAGAACGCTTTGGTATGTGGGTGTCAAACACTGGTCATTATGTCAGTTTCACTTCAAGATGGCCTCACTTTTGACATGCAACAGGCTGTTTTCCTACACACAGATATATGCATATGTTCAAATCATCAAATTTTATGTTAATTATACCTCAATAAAGCTGTTAAAAATCTATGCTCCAAAATATTATGTAGATATTTAATTGCTATTTATAAAATATTTAATAACATGAGATTTACAATAATGTGTATTGTTTAAAATATTGGTTATAGAGTAGTATATACAGCATTATCACAATTTTATAAAGTTAAACATATGTATACATTTGTTTCTGTTATGCATGTAACAGAAAGAGGGAGACAATGGAAATGAGAGAGGAAAAAGGAAGAGGAAGAACGAAAGAGAAAATGTTTCTTCAGTTAAATAAAGCAAATAGCCAGCATTTTGCATTATACTTTGAGGGGAAACAAATTCCTCCATGGGAATCAATTGTTGGAAACCTAGCATTTATGCAAGGATTAAGAGATTTTCTTTGTGAAGAATAAGGTCCTAAAGGAACAAGTATATAGCCTGGTGGAAACTGTATAAACAACTGAGAACCAGCAACCTCAAAGAAAATTAAAACTGGATGTTAGTTATACTAAGTTACCCCAAAATTCCTGAGTATAAACTGAAAATATAAAACCATAATATATAATTATTTCATAAATAGCTATATATAAACATCTTGGCAAAATGTATATAACCATGCAGTTCCTGCCTGATACAGTATGTAGTGATTTATTTATTTATTTTTTTGAGATGGAGTTTCTCTCTTGTCACCCAGGCTGGAGTGCAATGGCACGGTCTTAGTTCACTGCAACCTCTGCCTCCCAAGTTCAAGTGATTCTCCTGCCTCAGCCTCCCAAGTAGCAACCTGGTGATGGGTGTGGTAGAGACGGGGATTTCACCATGTTGGCCAGGCTGGTCTCAAACTCCTGACCTCAGGTGTTCTAGCCTCCTCAGCCTCCCTAAGTGCTGGGATTACAGGCATGCACTACCGCACCCGACCATATGGGGTGATCTAAACAAAAATATTTTTATTATTGTAAACACCTAAGGTAAAGAATCATTATAATGATGATTCTCTAACATGCATCAGAATCAGCTGGAGGACTCACTTAACTATAGATAATATGTCTTCTCTCCCAAAGTTTCAGGTTCAGTAAGTCTGAGATGGGGGCCTAGAATTTTCATTTTTAACAAATTCCCAGGTAATATTGAAGCAACTGATCTGATGTATGTATTGTACAACTGAACCACAGTTCTGACCCAGTAACTGCAATCTTGGGCTACTTCCAACTCCAAAACAAAATATCCTAGGAAAGGCACTGAACTTGAAATCAAAAGACCAAAGTCTGAGTCCTCGTTTGTTACCTACAAGACGTAAAACAAAATCCCTTAGCACTATGAACTTTATTTTCTATGTTACTGGAGTAATAATACCTATTATATCTTTTAGGATTGTTATAAAAATAACTAAGGTAATATATATTAAAGGCTTTTATAATCAGTTAATATCTTTAGAAATATAAATTCTTGTTATATGCCTCAGTTTCAATAACTTTTAAAAAACAGATTTCAACTTCACTGTAAGTTCCTAATCTTAGGTCAAACCCAATTATGGCTCCTGACAGTCTAGAGAAGGCTAAGGAAAGATGATCAAATAAAGCTATGCTTTCCAACTTTTGTCCCATTCAAATAAGGACAAAGATGTAGGTGGGAGTAGGGGAAGGGGTGAGGTGGCCTTTTGCTAGGAAGTAGATAAGCTGGGTTAGAGATGAGATGTGAGACAACTTCTCAGTGAGCAGAGGCTTGCTGCTAACAAGTGATGCCATGGCTGCCTTCCTCTTGGCAATCGTGATTCTAGATGATGGTACTTTCAGAATTCATGGAGGCCATGAGAATTTTTCTGGACCTAAAGTGAGAGGTTTATATCTTAACTTTTGGACACTACAGCTTGGCCTACTTGGATCTAACAAATCCTCATGTGTTAATCTGGCATTTGACCCTAGTCATGTTCTGACTTTCATTTAACTACAAGGGTTGAGTTTTGGCTTTTACCACATCTAACCCTAGTTCTCACTGCTGAATTGGGCCTGACATTATGGCTAAGAACTGATTATTGCCAGTGACTTCTGTCACTCTATGTCACAGTGTAGCCAAAAAGGACCATTATCCTAACTAGCATTATTTTATTTTCCACTGTAAAAGGCAGCAGCAGTACAACCAATTTTAGACCCTGACTGGATTACCAAAAATCTTAGAGTAATAAGGAAAAGTGAAATTGAAATTGAATGTGTAGCCTGAGATATGGCAATAACATAATATAAATGTGGAAATAATTATGTTCTAGGTCATTAATGAAGTATTAGATGTTAGTAAATACTCTGTCACTCTGGCCACCAGATCTTCATGATTTGGTTCTAATGCACTAAAAGCTACAATAGTTCTGTTTCTTTAGCAATATCCTAAGAACGGAGCTATTTTTTAAAAAATAACTCCACACATTGGCTTCAGAATTCTTCTTCCAGCATTAAAAGGATTCCCACCATTGTCATCATCACCTTCACTATAACATGATCGTGGTACATTTCTTGGCCTCATACTCAACAAAAATTCCTTATAAGAATTAGATCTCCATTTATATATATAACATAATAAAACAGTAATAACTTTTATATTTTTCCTCCTCTTACAAGTGTTAGGTGAGTATTACCTTTCCCAATGTTTACTCACTTTTGAAAGCAGACAGTCTTTTATATTTTTCAGTTTGCACTATTTTTATCCTGATAGTTCTGCTGCTTCCAGTGGGACTTCTAACAGAAATGAACACAAGAGATTCTTGGGCACAGCCTTGAACTTAGGCATTAAATCCCATCAATGATGTGACCTTTAAGCAATGGGCCATTCAGTTTTTACTTTCTCATATACATTTACAGTGGATTTCAAAAAAATACATTTTATTGCTTCCAAACTTAAATCAATATTTTGGGGGTGGTTCCAAGATGGCTGAATAGGAACAGCTCCAGTCTACAGCTCACAGTGTGAGCAACGCAGAAGATGGGTGATTTCTGCATTTCCAACTGAGGTACTGGGTTCATCTCACTGGGGCTCATTGGACAGTGGGGGCAGGCCACCAAGTGTGAGCCGAAGCAGGGCAAGGCATCACCCCACCCAGGAAGTGCAAGGGATCAGGGAATTCCCTTTCCTAGCCAAGGGAAGGGGTAACAGATGGCACCTGGAAAATCGGGTCACTCCCACTCTAATACTGTGCTTTTCTAACAGTCTTAGCAAATGGCACACCAGGAGATTATATCCTGTCCCTGGCTCAGAGGGTCCCATGTCCACAGAGCCTCACTCATTCCTAGCACAGCAGTCTGAGATTGAACTGCAAGGCTGCAGCAAGGCTGGGGGAGGGGAGCCCGCCATTGCTGAGGCTTGAGTAGATAAACAAAGCAGCTGGGAAGCTCAAACAGGGCAGAGCCCACCACAGGTCAAGGAGGCCTGCCTGCTTCTGTAGACTCCACCTCTGGGGGCAGGGCATAGCCAAACAAAAGGCAGCAGAAAACTCTGCAGACTTAAATGTCCCGGTCTGACAGCTTTGAAGAGAGTAGTGGTTCTCCCAGCATGGAGTTTAAGATCTGAAAATGGACAGACTGCCTCCTCAAGTAGGTTCCTTACCCCTGAGTAGCCTAACTGGGAGGCACCCCTCAGTAGGCACAGACTGACACCTCACACAGCCGGGTACCTGTCTGAGATGAAGCTTCCAGAGGAATGATCAGGGAGCAACATTTGATGTTCTGTAATATTCACTGTTTTGCAGACTCCTTGCTGATACCAAGGCAAACAGGGTCTGGAGTGGACCTCCAGCAAACTCCAACAGACCTGCAGCTGAGGGTCCTGACTGGTAGAAGGAAAACTAACAAACAGAAAGAACATCCACACCAAAACCCCATCTGTACATCACCATCATCAAAGACCAAAGGTAGATAAAACCACAAAGATGGGGGAAAAACAGAGCAGAGAAGCTGAAAATTCTAAAAATCAGAGCACCTCTCCCCATCCAAAGGAATGCAGCTCCTCACCAGCAATGGAACAAAGCTGGATGGAGAATGACTTTGACGAGTTGAGAGAAGAAGGCTTCAGATGATCAAACTTCTCCGAGCTAAAGGAGGAAGTTTGAACCCAAAACAAAGACGCTAAAAACCTTGAAAAAAGATAGACGAATGGCTAACTAGAATAACCAGTGTAGAGAAGTCCTTAAATGACCTGATGGAGATGAAAACCAAGGCACAAGAACTACGTGATTAATGCACAAGCTTCAGTAGCCAATTCGATCAACTGGAAGAAAGGGTATCAGTGATTGAAGATCAAATGAATGAAATGAAGCAAGAAGAGAAGCTTAGAGAAAAAAGAATAAAAAGAAAGTAACAAAGCCTCCAAGAAATATGGGACTATGTGAAAAGACCAAATCTACATCTGATTGGTGTACCTGAAAGTGACAGGGAGAATGGAACCAAGTTG
Source organism: Homo sapiens (assembly GCF_000001405.40). NCBI lineage: Eukaryota > Metazoa > Chordata > Mammalia > Primates > Hominidae > Homo > Homo sapiens. The sequence continues at coordinate 33,929,810 of NC_000012.12, forward strand.
GAAAACGCTCTTCAGGATATTATCCAGGAGAACTTAGCAAGGCAGGCCAACATTCAAATTCAGGAAATACAGAGAACACCACAAAGATACTCCTCAAGAAGAGCAAGTCCAAGACACATAATTGTGAGATTCACCAAAGTTGAAATGAAGGAAAAAATGTTAAGGGCAGCCAGAGAGAAAGGTCAGGTGACCCACAAAGGGAAGCCCATCAGACTAATAGCTGATCTCTCGGTAGAAACTCTACCAGCCAGAAGAGAGTGGGGGCCAATATTCAACTTTCTTAAAGAAAAGATTTTTCAACCCAGAATTTCATATCCAGCCAAATTAAGCTTCATAAGTGAAGGAGAAATAAAATCCTTTACAGACAAGCAAATGCTGAGAGATTTTGTCACCACCAGGCCTGCTCTACAAGAGCTCCTGAAGGAAGAACTAAATATAGAAAGGAACAACTGTACCAGTCACTGCAAAAACATGACAAATTGTAAAGGCCATCAATGCTAGGAAGAAACTGCATCAACTAACGAGCAAAATAACCAGCTAACATCATAATTACAGGATCAAATTTACACATAAAAATATTAACCTTAAATGTAAATGGGCTAAATGCTCCAATTAAAAGACACAGACTGGCAAACTGGATAAAGAGTCTATAGCTCCCAGCATGAGCGATGCAGAAGATGGGTGATTTCTGCATTTCCAACTGAGGTACCAGGTTCATCTCACTGGGGAGTGTCGGACAGTGGGCGCAGGACAGTGGGTGCAGCATACTGAGCATGAGCTGAAGCAGGGTGAGGCATCACCTCACCCGGGAAGTGCAAGGGGTCAGGGAATTCCTTTCCTAGGCAAAGAATGAGGTGACAGATGGCATCTGGAAAATCAGGTCACTCCCACCCTAATACTGTGCTTTTCCAAAAGTCTTAGCAAATGGCACACCAGGAGATTATATCCTGCGCATGGCTTGGAAGGTGCTACACCCATGGAGCCTTGCTCATTGCTAGCACAGCAGTCTGAGATCAAACTGCAAGGCGGCAGCAAGGCTGGGGGAGGTGTGTCCACCATTGCTGAGGCTTGAGTAGGTAAACAAAGTGGCTGGGAGGCTCGAACTGGGTGGAGCCCACTGCATCTCAAGGAGGCCTGCCTGTCTCTGTAGACTCCACCTCTGGGGGCAGGGCATAGCCAAACAAAAGGCAGCAGAAAACTGTGCAGACTTAAATGTCCCTGTCAGCTTTGAAGAGATTAGTGGTCTGACAGCTTTGAAGAGAGTAGTGGTTCTCCCAGCACGCAGCTGGAGATCTGAGAATGGACAGACTGCCTCCCCAAGTGGGTCCCTGACCCCTGAGTAGCCTAACTGGGAGGCACCGCCCAGTAGGGGCAGACTGACACCTCACACAGCCGGGTACTCCTCTGAGACAAAACTTCCAGAGGAACGATCAGGCAGCAACATTTGCTCTTCACCAATATCCACTGTTCTGCAGCCTCCATTGCTGATACCAAGGAAAACAGGGTCTGGAGTGGACCTCCAGGAAACTCCAACAGACTTGCAGCTGAGGGTCCTGACTGGTAAAAGGAAAACTAACAAATGGAAAGGACATCCACACCAAAACCCCATCTCTACGTCATCATCACAAAGACCAAAGGTAGATAAAACCACAAAGATGGGGAAAAAACAGAGCAGAAAAACTGGAAACTCTAAAAATCAGAGCGTCTCTCCTGCTCCAAAGGAACGCAGCTCCTCACCAGGAATGGAACAAAGCTGGATGGAGGATGACTTTGACAAGTTGAGAGAAGAAGGCTTCAGATGATCAAACTTCTCCGAGTTAAGGAGGAAGTTTGAACCCATGGCAAAGAAGATAAAAACCTTGAAAAAAGATTAGACGAATGGCTAACTAGAATAACCAATGCAGAGAAGTCCTTAAAGGACCTGATGGAGCTGAAAACCAAGGCACGAGAACTACGTGACGAACGCACAAGCCTCAGTAGCCGATTGGATCAACTGGAAGAATGGGTATCAGTGATGGAAGATCAAATGAATGAAATGAAGCGAGAAGAGAAGTTTAGAGAAAAAAAATAAAAAGAAACCAATAAGGCCTCCAAGGAATATGGGACTATGTGAAAAGACCAAATCTATGTCTGATTGGTGTACCTGAAAGTGATGGGGAGAATTGAACCAAGTTGGAAAACACTCTGTTAGATATTATCCAGGTGAAATTCCCCAATCTAGCAAGGCAGGACAGTATTGAAATTCAGAAAATACAGAGAACAACACAAAGATACTCCTTGAGAAGAGCAACTCCAAGACACATAATTGTCAGATTCACCAAAGTTGAAATGAAGGAGAAAATGTTAAGGGCAGCCAGAGAGAAAGGTCGGGTCACTCACAAAGGGAAGCCCATCAGACTAACAGCTGATCTCTCGGCAGAAACTCTACAAGCCAGAAGACAGTGGGGGCCAGTATTCAACATTCTTAAAGAAAAGAATTTTCAACCCAGAATTTCATATCCAGCCAAACTAAGCTTCATAAGTGAAGGAGAAATAAAATACTTTACAGACAACAAATGCTGAGGAATTTTGTCACCACCAGGCCTCCCCTAAAAGAGCTCCTGAAGGAAACACTAAACATGGAAAGGAAAAACCAGTACCAGCCACAGCAAAAACATGCCAAAATGTAAAGACCATTGAGGCTAGGAGGAAACTGCATCAACTAACGAGCAAAATAACCAGCTAACATCATAATGACAGGATCAAATTCACACATAACAATATTAACCTTAAATGTAAATGGGCTAAATGCTCCAATTAAAAGACACAGACTGGCAAATTGGATAAAGAGTCAAGACCCATCAGTGTGCTGTATTCAGGAAACCCATCTCATGTGCAGAGACACACATAGGCTCAAAATAAAGAGATGGAGAAAGATCTACAAAAAAAACAAAAAAAAAAGGCAGGGGATGCAATCCTAGTCTCTGATAAAACCGACTTTAAACCAACAAAGATCAAAAGAGACAAAGAAGGCCATTACATAATGGTAAAGGGATCAATTCAACAAGAAGAGCTAACTATCCTAAATATATATGCACCCAATACAGGAGCACCCAGATTCATAAAGCAAGTCCTTAGAGACCTAAAAGAGACTTAGACTCCCACACAATAATAATGGGAGACTCTAACACCCCACTGTCAACATTAGACAGATCAATGAGACAGAAAGTTAACAAGGATATCCAGGAATTGAACTCAGCTCGGCACCAAGCGGACGTAATAGACATCTACAGAACTCTCCACCCCAAATCAACAGAATATACATTCTTTTCAGCACCACACCACACCTATTCCAAAATTGACCACATAGTTGGAAGCAAAGCACTCCTCAGCAAATGTAAAAGAATAGAAATTATAACAAACTGTCTCTCAGACCACAGTGCAATCAAACTAGAACTCAGGATTAAGAAACTCACTCAAAACCGCTCAACTACACGGAAACTGAACAACCTGCTCCTGAATGACTACTGGGTACATAACGAAATGAAGGCAGAAGTAAAGATGTTCTTTGAAACCAATGAGAACAAACACATAACATACCAGAATCTCTGGGACACATTTAAAGCAGTGTGTACAGGGAAACTTATAGCACTAAATGCCCACAAGAGAAAGCAGGAAAGATCTCAAATGACACCCTAACATCACAATTAAAAGAACTAGAGAAGCAAGAGCAAACACATTCAAAAGCTAGCAGAAGGCAAGAAATAACTAAGATCAGAGAAGAACTGAAGGAGATAGAGTTACAGAAAATCCTTCAAAAAGATCAGTGAATCCAGGAGCTGGTTTTTTGAAAAGATCAACAAAATTGATAGACCACTAGCAAGACTAATAAAGAAGAAAAGAGAAGAATCAAATAGACGCAATAAAAAATGATAAAGGGGATATCACCACCGATCTCACAGAAATACAAGCTACCATCAGAGAATACTACAAACACCTCTACACAAATAAACTAGAAAATCTAGAAGAAATGGATAAATCCCTTGACACATACACCCTCCCAAGACTAAACCAGGAAGAAGTTGAATCCCTAAATATATTAATAACAGGCTCTGAAATTGAGGCAATAATTAACAGCCTCCCAAGCAAAAAAAGTCCAGGACCAGATGGATTCACAGCCGAATTCTACCAGAGGTACAAGGAGGAGCTGGTACCATTCCTTCTGAAACTATTCCAATCAATAGAAAAAGAGGGAATCCTCCCTAACTCATTTTATGAGGCCAGCATCATCCTGATATCAAAGCCTGGCAGAGATACAATAAAAAAAGAGAATTTTAGACCAATATCCCTGATGAACATTGATGTAAAAATCCTCAATAAAATACTGGCAAACCAAATCCAGCAGCATATCAAAAAGCTTATCCACCAAGAACAAGTGGGCTTCATCCCTTGGATGAAAGGCTGGTTCAACACACGCAAGTCAATAAACGTAATCCAGCATATAAACAGAGCCAATGACAAAAACCACGTGATTATCTCAATAGATGCAGAAAAGCCATTGACAAAATTCAACAACCCTTCATGCTAAAAACTCTTAATAAATTAGGTATTGACGGGATGTATATCAAAATAATAAGAGCTATTTATGACAAACACACAGCCAATATCATACTGAATGGGCAAAAACTGGAAGCATTCCCTTTGAAAACTGGCACAAGACAGGGATGCCCTCTCTCACCACTCCTATTTAACATAGTGTTGGAAGTTCTGGCCAGGGCAATTAGGCAGGAGAAAGAAATAAAGGGTATTCAATTAGGAAAAGAGGAAGTCAAATTGTCCCTGTTTGCAGATGACATGATTGTATATTTAGAAAACCCCATCATCTCAGCCCCAAATCTCTTTAAGCTGATAAGCAACTTCAGCAAAGTCTCAAGATACAAAATCAATGTGCAAAAATCACAAGCATTCTTATACACCAATTACAGACAAACAGAGAGCCAAATCATGAGTGAACTCCCATTCACAATTGCTTCAGAGAGAATAAAATATCTAGGAGTCCAACTTACAAGGGATGTGAAGGACCCCTTCAAGGAGAGCTACAAACCTCTGCTCAATGAAATAAAAGAGGACACAAACAAATGGAAGAACATTCCATGCTCATGGCTAGGAAGAATCAATATCGTGAAAATGGCCATACTGCCCAAGGTAATTTATAGACTCAATGCTATCCCCATCAAGCTACCAACGACTTTCTTCACAGAATTGGAAAAAACTACTTTAAAGTTCATATGGAGCCAAAAAAGAGCCCACATTGCCAAGACATTCCTAAGCCAAAAGAACAAAGCTGGAGGCATCACGCTACCTGACTTCAAACTATACTACAAGGCTACAGTAACCAAAACAGCATGGTACTGGTACCAAAACGGAGATATAGACAAATGGAAAAGAACAGAGCCCTCAGAAATAATACCACAGATCTACAAACATCTGGTCTTTGACAAACCTTACAAAAACAAGAAATGGGGAAAGGATTCCCTATTTAATAAATGGTGCTGGGAAAACTGGCTAGCCATATGTAGGAAGCTGAAACTGGATCCCTTCCTTACACCTTATACACAAATTAATTCAAGATGGATTAAAGACTTAAATTTCAGACCTAAAACCATAAAAACCCTAAAAGAAAACCTAGGCAATACCATTCAGGACATAGGCATGGGCAAGGACTTCATGTCTAAAACACCAAAAGCAATGGCAACAAAAGCCAAAATTGACAAATGGGATCTAATTAAAGAGCTTCTGCACAGCAAAAGAAATGACCATCAGAGTGAACAGGCAACCTACAGAATGGGAGGAAATTTTTGCAATCTACTCATCTGACAAAAGGCTAATATCCAGAATCTACAAAGAACTCAAACAAATTTACAAGAAAAAAACAACCCCATTGACAAGTAGGCGAAGGATATGAACAGACACTTCTCAAATGAAGACATTTATGCAGCCAAAAGACACATGGAAAAATGCTAATCGTCACTGGCCATCAGAGAAATGCAAATCAAAACCACAATGAGATACCATCTCACACCAGTTAGAATGGTGATCATTAAAATGTCAGGAAACAACAGGTGCTGGAGAGGATGTGGAGAAATAGGAACACTTTTACACTGTTGGTGGGACTGTAAACTAGTTCAACCACTGTGGAAGACAGTGTGGTGATTCCTCAAGGATCTAGAACTAGAAATACCATTTGACCCAGCCATCCCATTACTGGGTATCTACCCAAAGGATTATAAATCATGCTGCTATAAAGGCACATGCACCTGTATGTTTATTGCGGCACTATTCACAATAGCAAAGACTTGGAACCAACCCAAATGTCCATCAATGATAGGCTGGATTAAGAAAATGTGGCACATATACACCATGGAATACTATGCAGCCATAAAAAAGGATGAGTTCATGTCGTTTGTAGGGACATGGATGAAGCTTGAAAGCATCTTTCTCAGCGAACTATCGCAAGAACAAAAAACCAAACACTGCAAGTTCTCACTGATAGGTAGGAATTGAACAACGAGAACACCTGGACACAGGAAGGGAACATCACACACCAGGGCCAGTTGTGGGGGGGGCAGGGGGGAGGGAAAGCATTAGGAGATATACCTAATGTAAATGATGAGTTAATGGGTGCAGCACACCAACATGGCACATGTATACATATATAACAAACCAGCACGTTGTGCACATGTACCCTAGAACTTTAAGTATAATTAAAAGAAAAGAAAAAAGAAAAAAAAGAAAAAGAAATCAATATTTCACTACCTCTAGCCACTTTGTTAGCAGAAAATTTTTATTCTTAGAGCAGTGTTACAGATTAGCATTATCCTACATCTCCCACCTGTATTAACCTGAATATAATAACTTAAATTTCCAAGATTTGAATTAGAGAAGAAAGCTTTAAGCTGCTAATTGTCCCTCAGGTACTTTATTCTGGGCCCTGAGGCATGGAATCTCCCTAGACAGATCTATTTTTCACATGTCCTAAGTATGCACTTAAAGGGGTTGTGCTGAACAACTTTCACCTTCTTTCTGGTTTGTCAATTCCTAAAATGAAGCCCTAGCCACAAAATCGTGAAACTCTACAGTATAGGTTCTGGAGTTTGACCAACATCAGTTCAAATCCTGACTATAATTTATAGAATATGTATTATGTGGCAAGTTACTTGATCTCTTTGTGCTTCTGTTTCTGTATCTTCATCTGCAAAAGATGGGTCCTAATACTTGAGATAAAATGAGGTAATTTAAGTGTTTTGCAGAGTGCCTTCCATGTATTCAGTGTCAATGAGTTATAGCTATTTTTGGCAACAACTTTTCATCCTTATTTGTATGGCTAGGACTCACCTCCCCTTTCCCGGCACACAAAAAAAGACAAGGAAAAGTATGTAGAATCCCAGACACAAATTAGTATTTTCCACAGTGAAAGCCAAGATAAGTTAACAACAACGTCATCAATAATACCAACAATCATACTGAGCAAGTGCCTGGAAACAAAAAGAAAATTAATCCTTGATTTCAAAAGGCTTATGGATCATGAAACTTTTATTAGAAATACCTTGTCTATAAAATGACATTCTCTATATGATAATATATCCAAAAAAACTTTCCATTTCTGCTTCTTCAACTGGAATCTTGCTTTGGTTTGCTTATATTTTTATTAATATATGCTTTAGCATATCTACATGACCCCAAACTGTAAGAATTAAATGAATTTTTAGTCATATAGTTACTGCATTCCTATAACTAAGTGGGTTTAGGCAACAATATTTTACATCTGCTTCTAATTCAGACTTTCTGGTTTGCACAACCTCTGGGCTTTGTAGGCCAATATTTTCAAAACATTATTTGTATATCTTACCTACAATCTCTAAAACTTAGGATATGCCCCTAATATAAGTAGTATTTTCTGAGCTATTAAAAATAAAAAATCACACAAACAAAATATTCTAATAGAATCTAAGTAGTATTAGAGGACTGATTATATAAAGCCTGTGCAACATGCTCTTTTAACTCTATTACTTGTGTCATTGCTGATGAAATATTTATTGATCAGGAAACAGAAGTAGGTACAGCAAACACAGAGAAGTATGACTTTGGCTATGCATTCAAGAAGAATGTGTTACTTAGTATGACTTTGATTACTAAAAAATCCATTTCTTCTTGTTAGCCACCCCGAGGAAAACTATTCCAACTATAAGACAAGACAATATGGGTATAGCCTAACAAGTAAGACTGTGCTACAGATAATACGGTGTAGGAGCCAGCTCCCTACATGTGGTTGGATTTTCCTAAGCTGAAAAGGTTAAATGTAATGGTGTTTAATTAATTAGATGGAATTCTTTTGATTAATCAACTGACATTTTTAATATCAAGTAGGTAATTTAACAATTTCAGCCTACTGCTCTTATGCCTAAAGCTCTTAAAAATATCAATAAATAGGATACACCATAAACACGACAGGTGCAGATGTAAAACAAACTTACATAAATTTAGATGATATTAATGCTTAAAATCTTATAAAAATTAATATGCATATTATGCAGAATACATGGATTAATGCATTTCTTCCTAATAATGTTTCCTTGCTGCAAAGCTGGCTAGAGTCTATATTTTTCTAATTTATGATCTAGTATGTCAAAGTTTTACATCCAGTAGAGTATCATTGTTTGGAATCCATAATTCATAATATTGTCAAATTACTTATGAATTGTTTTGAGAGGAAGTGAAACATAAAAAAGAAGTTAACTATAGTTATAGATAGTATCCTATACTTCCTTGTTCACTCAATGGACAAGAATCAGACCACCAGATTTTGTCACTTTTGCTAGCAATGTACCCTCAGGCCCTTTTAAAATCTTTTGTAATCTTGAAGTTTGCTTAGATTGTGTAACCCTAATTACAAGCACCCAAAGTTTTCTTAGGAACAATCTGAGGGAAAGTGTTATGTACTAAATTTTTTGTCCCCACAAAATTCATATGTTGAAGCTCTCACTCGCAGTGTGATAATATTTGGGCATAGGGTCTTTGGAAGGTATTTGGGTCATGAAGGCAAGGTCCTGGTATGGTGGGATTAGTGCCCTTACAAAAATGAAATATCAGAGAGCTTGTTCTCAATCTCTTCAGCAGCACACACTGAGGAAATGTCATGTGTGCACAAAGCAAGAAGGCAGCAGTCTGAAAAGCAGAAAGAGAGCCCTCGCCAGAAACCAATCCCACCAATGTTAATCTGGATATCTAGCTACCAGAACTGTGAAAAATAAATTTCTGTTGTTTAAGCCACCCAGTCTAAGGTGTTGTGCTCTGGCAGCCCCAGCAGAGTAAGACACAACGGTGTATTATTTCATCTGTGAGCCCAACACCCTGATGAATTGGAGAGGAGACCAGGCTCATTGAACCCATGCAATAAGACCCTTGTGGTTTCCATAGGATTCACAAGAACTAATACAACCCCCACTGACACAGTGGAGAGGCTCTTGGCCTTGCCCACTATGGGGCAGAGGAGGCTGTTTGACTCATTCATAGGCATTCTACCAGGATTATAATCATGACCCCTGCTATGGTTTAAATGTTTGGTTCTTCCAAAATCGTGTTGAAATTTAGCTGCTATTGTAACAGCATCAAGAGGTGGAATCTTTTTAATACTGCACTAAGTACTTAAAATAGTATTTAGAGTGAGTGATTAGGTCATGTGGGCTCTTCCATCATGAGTGGATTAATATCATTATCACAGGAGCGGGTTCCTTATGAAAAACAAGTTTGCCCCCTTCTCTCATTCTTTCTCTCTCACCCTTTTTTTCCCCTTGCACCATGGGATGATGCCACAAGAAGACTCTTTCCAGATGCTGGCCCCTCAATGTTGGACTTCCCAGCCTCAAGAACCATGATCCAATAAACTTTTGTTATTTCTAAATTATCCTGTCTGTGGTATTACGTTATAGCAGCACAAAATGGACTAAGACAATCCTATGTGTAGCCTATTTCTCTCTTTTGTAACCCTTCAAATAACCTCAGAAAATTATGTGTTGTAGCCTCAAGTGTACCTATGCTAATTTATATCTCACTGAGTTAGAAATGAGGTAGTGTTTCATAAAAGGGAGTGATGTACAGTTTGTTCTTCTTCAGGAACTAGTAGAAAGAGCTAGTAAATCCTGATCAGCACCAGAGAAAGAGAAAGAAAGAGAGGCAGTATCTCTTCTAAAATAAACTTCCTTCTGGTCTTCCAAATTCTATTCTGTTTTTCTATAGGTATGCCTTTATTAACTTTCTTTCAATATCGCTTTAAAAATGCCTTCTCAGCAACTACCTTTTGAGAAGTAATTACTGTTGCCCTTTATTTCCAGCCATGGCAAGCAGCAGTGAAAGAAGGTGACAATGGGCCCTGGCTGGTCTGAATATTGCCTGACGCCAGGGCCCCACCACCATAATAAGGCTGCCTGGGTCAGAGCGACTGCATGTACTCCCCAAGGCAATAACACAGTTAAGAAAGTTATTTACAAGGAACAAACATCTTATTATGAAGAGAAAACAGAAGCAAGAAAAATGAAGTACATTTCCCAATTACAGACTCTCAGCCATTTTCTAAAAGCCTCCTGTCAAGTTTATAAATGTAATTGTTAAACAGCTGCTAAGAGTGGCAAACAAAATGTCAATAACAAGGATCAAATAATGCTTTCTTAAAAAATGAAAGAAGACCGAGGTCAGTCTATGGTGCCAATCAAAGGCATGAAAACAAGTTATTACTCCCTTGTAAATATAAGTTCATTTTAGTAAGTTTCTCCCTACAGTCATAATTAGCTAACAGTATTATCCTACAATTGAGATGTCTGGCTTTGTTAAATGGTGAGATGTGTTAGTATATATGTACCACACATATGAATTTTACATTATACATTTTCAGAAAAGGCGAAATCAATTTGTTATGTGGATGTAAGACATGACTCCAACTCCAGGCCAGTATGTTTATTAGTGCTGATATTTATGCATAGTGCCCAATTTCAGAATATTAGCAAAATTAAACTTGAATGATTCTAATTTATAATAACTTTCAACTCTCTTTAAAACAAGATCTGATAACCTTTGGAAGTTAGTGGAATAACTCTTCTTGAAGGTCTTTCACACTACTGCACTTTCATTTGGACTAGCTAATTAGGAAAATATTTTTGTTTTAACTTAAAAATGTCCAACAGGCTGTGTATTGGATGTCCATATCTTAGTAAAAGCTCAGACTGCAGCCTTTATTGGTAGTATCTTTTCCTCTCACAGGCATCATGGAGGAGGCATGATCTGATAAAGAGACAGTAAATGTATCAATGAGTTTGGATTCATATACTGGCGTTTTAAAATTCTAACTTAATGAAAATATTTCAATATTTACTCTTGCAAACCAAAAGTTAATTTTCATTTTTATCATACTTCATGTTTGCACATTTCATATAAGCCCTTTTTCTTTCCCTTCAGAGATATTGGGTCACTATATTGTGATGATGTGAAGGATCATATGCTGTCTTTAGTATCTCAAAATTAACGCCACTGTTTTGACTGATATTCCAGGGCAAGAAACATGTGTTGTTGCTCTTTTACGTTTCATGTCCATAAAACATAGCACATTACTGTGCATAGCACAGGCCCTTCATTGACAGTAACTGATGAATTCCAAGAGAGGAGGAAAAAGCTTAACAATTTTCTTACCCTTGGGGGATGGATGAAAAAAGCAGATGCTAAAGTATTATGTGACAGCATAAACATTAACTTTTTTTTTTTCAGGGAAACAAGAACATTACTAATGAGAGAAATTAATATTTTAGAACTGACTTGAGGCCCTTGACTATGAAGACAGCATTTCTACTAAATTTGAGAATTCATATTCTTTAGTAATTGTAACAAGTAAATTTGCCACCTAGATTTTTACTGCTAATTCTTTACAAATACTCTATCATAGTGAGATTTTTATTTGACTTTATTGCTCTGTGCTGTTGATGTTTTTATAAGTAAGGAGACAAGTGAGAAGAAAATCTATTTTGTGTTGGCTAAGTAGAGATATTGAGAAGGCAACTTAATGCTTTGTCTTCTTTACTCTAACCAGAAAATAAACTATTCCTTCCTTAAAATTTCAGCTCTATGTATAATATAATTAAGAACTCTGTAAAATTCTTGGAAATATTGCCTTAGAACCTTGAGATAGACAGAATAACATCCCCTGAAAGATCCCATACCCTAATCCCCAGAATCTGTGGATATGTAAGGCTGCATGGCCAATTACAAGGAGAATTAAATTGCAGGTTGAATTAAGGTTGCTAATCAAATATCCCTAAAACAGAGAGATAGCATGGATTGTCCAGGTGCTTACAATGTTAACACAGGTCCTTACATGTGGAAGAAGGAGACAGAAGAGAAGGTAAAATGAATGTGGTATGGGCAGAACTGTAGCTGATGTGTCTGACTTTAAAGATGTAGAATGGGGGTCGCAAGCTGAGGAATGGGAAAACCTTGGAAATGAATTATCTCCTAGAACCTCCAGAGGGAGCATGTCCCTGCCGACACCTTGACTTTAAACCAGTAAGATAATTTTGGAATTCAGATCTCCAAAACTGTAAGAGAATAAATGTAAATTGTTTTAAGCCACCAAGTTTGCAGTAATTTGTTACTGCAGTAATAGAAAGGTAATATAAACTCTATCTCTCCCAGGTTGGTTTAATATCAGAACTCGATGCTATGTTCTACACCTCTAGTTATATTGCTGTTCAGATGATTTATTTGCTGGAAAACCTTCTAATAGACTGAATGAAAAGGAGCCCCACAAATATAATGTTCATAATAATTTTTCAGTGTTTGTTTCCACATTTTCTACAGACATGTCTAGAGGTCACCTTTCATGTGACTATAAGTCAAAATTAAATGTATCTCCAAGTAATTTCCCTCAGGCCACAATTAAACAATTAACAGCCACTTTTCGCACAATAAATATAAGTAGGTTTAGTAACTTAACAATTGCTTTATCAAGTCATTCCTGTGCCTGTATTGAAGGAAATAATAATATTTGTGATCTTTCAAAAACGTAATGAAGAAACAGAAAATGCAAAATCACATTATTAGTGATAATGTATGTGTCCCTTAAATGAAGTCCCCCTGTGGTGCAGTTCATTAATAGCTTGGGCCTTTTAGTATGAAAATACATGTAACATTGGATGGGTCATTGGACCTAGTCCTTAAAGTCCTTCTCCAGCATGCAGTTCAAAAACTCTATGATCCTCTGTTGATGTAGATCAAAGCACAGAATCAGTCTACTTTCTTAAAATAAAACTTCTTATAAATATCCTTAAAAGCAAGGCTTCCTTTATTGCATTTGAAGATTTAAAGTTAGGCTTAACAAAATCTCATTACCTGGCATGCTTGCAGACTTATTTTAAGGATAAAATTTAAAAAAACACACACACATTCTAAAGTCAGACACAGGTACTGATATGGAAAAGTCATTAGTTAAGCTTTTAAAAATATCTGGTTATTTCAAACATATAATACAATGCCATTGCTTAGCAGTTTGATGAATATAAATTAATAATGGCTTCCTGATTCAGAAATAATATTGTGAGCATTTGTTTACAAAAAAAGTATTACTTGCCTCTCCCAGGTATCACCATATAGATATCATTTGAAAAATAAATTATTTAACCAAAAGTTGAAGGAATCTTATCTGAGGTTGTTTCTTGCTCTCAATAAAATTATTTTATTTCTTCTTAGCAATACCTATTGATTTTTCAACAGTGGTCAAAATATGTTCCTTATTACACATCAATACCTATTTAAAACTATAAAGGAATGTTTTATATACTGGTCCATGAAGGCCTAGAAACCTCAAACTCCTTTGCAAGACTGGATTAATTGGGAGCAGAGGCAGATGCGTGATACAGGTAGCATTCCTATACCCACCATTTTAATCAGGTAGCTCAGCTTTCTCTAGTTTATATGTTGGATTTCACTTTTGGTTGGAAGAAATGTTTGGGTACCACTGTCTTAAAGAACTTCACTGCAATAAAATTCACATTCATACAGAATATATTATATAAAAGCACATTTCAACCCTATCATAGACTGATGGCTATTCCTGGGCACATGGCTACCCAGAACAAAGACTTCATTTCCTACCCTCCCTTGCAAATAGGTGTGGTTGCATGACTAAGCTGTCACTAAGAAAATGTAAATGGAAGTGGTGTATAAAATGTCTGGATCGTGTCCTTAAACTACAGGATTGTGCCCCTGATGACCCTATTTTCTTTATCTTACTGTTTGAAAGAGGAATTCTTGGAGCTCTCTCTACTTTGAAACTTTAGAATAAAGACCACATCACCAAATAAATCTGCAGATTACCATAACAGCCTTGAATTACCTAAATTCATACTTTCATGAGAAACAAACCTTCACCATATTTGAGCTACTGTCATTTTGTGTTTCTATCACATCTATGCAAACCTAAATAAATTACCATCTTACAGGCTTTTATGCTATTCCTGATAAAGGCTATTAAGCCTAACTGAATTCTGATAACTAGATACGTAAATCAGATCTTTTATCTTTTGTTATTCATTTGTGTATTGACAAAGATAATAGTTATGTGAATAATGTAGACATATGCTTGTCCAAAAATTATAGTCCTATAAATGTAAGTAGATTAAAAAATGTTACAGCTTTCAAAATTTGTATTTGGTAAGATTGAGAGCTATCATCTCAGCTTACAAAAATAATGTATATTTTATAACACTGCTTTCAATTTAATTGCAATCACAAGAGTACTGAGAGATAACGAAATCAACTACCCTGAAGAAAAAATGTCTGAAGAATAAGCATATTTATAGCCCAACATTACAATTAGTCTTTTAAGTAACAGTAAACAAATGTTTCTAAAAGCTTTTGAAGTGAAAAACATTTTAATCACTTAAGTCAGAAAACACCATTACCCTGCAGAATCAGTAGAACTGGTGATAATAATAAATTGAATTGTCTTGCTAAATTACTCAGTGAGTATGAATGTTCATGATTCACTACTCAAAAGTAAACAAACACAAAAATGCCTTTGAAAGAAAGCAACTTTCAGTAGTCAGAACGATAAACTATTAGCGCTGTCATTTAAATTAGGAACATTGAAGAAATTGAAGATGAAACCCAGCAATATAACAGATTTTTGTACCAAAGACTGATTTCTGCACAAAAGACTGGTGAGAGGCACTAGAAGGAATGCAAGAAAAGGAGCATTCTAAACACAGTGTCAAGGATAGAGTTGAGTTATCCTAGGGAAAGAGTTAAGGAAACCAGAAGCAAAGACATTCAAGAAATAGTAATGCAGGAATCTCAATGGAGATGAAAATCAAACTGGTTACTCAAGTACAGTTAGGATAGGTGAAACTCCAAAAGATCACTCCAGGTGGCTGGCTAATCATTATCAGAGAGTGATAACAGATGGATCAGGGGGTCAGGAGTGAAAAATGCCATTTGAGGTGAAGGCTACTAGGCAACATGAGATTCCAGGCAGAAAACATGGTCAGTGAGAGCACAGAGGAATGAGGCAGATCTCAGTCATTAAGAACTCGGGATACAGGAAAAGAATCAAGTTTCCCAAGGCATTTCTGGGATACCCAAGTTAATATTTGTGAGCTATGAGAGGGGTACCCAGTACTTAGTCATGGTGATAGCGACAGGAGATCGACAAATTCCAAGGCAGACAGCAGCGGGTCCCTGGTAGGGCTCAACCTTCAACCTGAGGACTGAGCTGCCAGTTCCAGATAGAGTCCATGACTGGAGTGAAAACTTCTATCCCTGTCTTACCTACTCTACTCTCTCTCTGAATTGGTTCCTTCTGGATAGTGCCTTTTAACGAACTGAATGATGCTTTTTCCAAGACCACTCATGGACCAATCCGCATGAACGCCCCCATTCCAAGCTCATAATAACCCCGGACTCAGCCATACAGACAGCTACCCATTTCTGGTCACCTCTCACTATCGAGAACTTTTCTGTCACTCAATAAAATTCTACCCTGCCTTGCACATTCTCTGGTGTGAAAGGTAAAAGATACAAAACAGACATCAGAGACTTAGAAATTTTATGTACATAAAGATGCATTAAAAATCATAAAGGAAATATACAGTTTAGTAGACTAATGGATAGTTATTTTCTTATTTAAATTTTTATGTTATATATGTGCCAGTTTTATGCTAAAGGGAATAACTAAATTTATTTTTAAAATAAATTCAGCTTATGAAACTTTAAAATTTTACATTCAAAGCTTTAAGCAATTTCAGATGCAGAGATTAATAACTAATGAAATTTATAATATCAAAGAAGCAATAATAACTAATATTGCCAGCGGAGTTATTAGGGTAAATCACATATAAAAGACAGAACTTGGATGTTATTTTTTTTTTTAAAAAAAGAAAGGAAAACTAAAAACAGATCAAAGTAGAAACACGTTCTTTAGTCAATCCTTGGCAAAGAGGCTTTACCAATCTCTAATGAAGAGAAATTGATGTCAGACCCTACATAATAATTATGTACTTTGCTTTATATAATTATTACAATTTTACTGTACAATAATGTAGATTTAGCCACCATTACATTTTTTGTTGTCTTCATAAAATTCTTAATTATAAAACCCTTTCTTGGTTAGTTTCAGCTAGATAACTAAATTGAATGAACTATATCACCTTTATAATTAAGATTCTGTTATCTAACAGGAAAATTGAAGTAAGCAATTTTTCATATGGAATATTATTCTATTAAATGTCAACCCAGGATGGGTTTGATGCATAATACAAAAAAAGATACCAAGACATCTCTGGAACATTTCAAAGTGTATTATCAACCAAAAAAATCCTCAAATTTTGGTTTGAAAAAAAAAAAACCCTCAAATAGTAACCAGTTGACAGGAAGCCTGCTTATAAAGAAATGGAATTCCAGTTACTATTGATAATGTTTGCAATGCTAAATTTAGTCCTTTCTAGGAGACAGTTCCCTAACAGCTGAAGAAAATAACCTAAAAAAAAAATAAGATCCGCCTGTTCTGCCCTGTGAAGACATGCAAATCCATAACGTATTCCTCCCTTTTTCTCTCCATGCCACGGTTGAAGTTCAAGATGTTTCCAGCCCTATTAAAATCTATCCTTCTTGGATAACATGCTATTCTTTGATAAGCTGAGATAAGCAACTTACCAGTTCATGCTGAGCTGTAACAGTTACTAATGAGCTGCTTCTCAGGTTGTAGTGTTGCCTTCTGAGATACAAAATTCTTGAACAGTAGAAAAATGATTTATTGGTGAATGACCCAGGCACTGATAAGCAAGAATAATTATGATATTTTAGGGAGAAAACTTTTGTTTGACCTCAAAATACTTCATACACCATTTTAGGTAGGTCTGGCTGTGTTTAAGTGTCTGTCCTTTGCCATCATGAGGTATCAGAAGGATGCATTTTCTCTTGCCTCGCTATTCTGTGGATCAGGATTTGCCGTAGAGAAAACATGCATGATAACAAGCTTCCTTATAACTGGTAAATCTATAAACCCCTTTAGCTTCCCTGAAAATAAATAGCAGAAAATGGAAAAAATATATTTCTAAGTTTTTGTATGTTTTTGATAAATGTTCAGTCTTCCCAAAATGTTTTGGAAAGATTAGAAAATAGAAAAAAAGCATACACCTTGAAAGCTTCAAATCACGGAGATAAAGCTAAACAGGTCTAAGGCCATTTGAGGCAGAAAATGCTTTCAATCAGTTTCCTCATCAGGTCATCAAATGTGACTTTGTCTTTAAGCAGTGACTTCTTTACGCTCATTCTTTAAAACTTAAGTTTCTTAAAATGAAAGGCTTTGGTTTATTTCTAAATAGAAGGCTATGATGAATGAGGTGTTTTATTGTTTTTCTCAAAGTCTTTCAGTCTTCCTAAAAGAGGCCACTTTGTATTTTTATTTGCAAGATTTAATATTAAGCTAGTTAACATAAAATGAATCTTTCACCCACAAGAGCAAATTGTTTTCACTCTCTGTCTGTATTTGTTACAGTTTATCTTGTGAAATTAGGTTTACAACCAAATTTTAATATATAGTTGATGATAATGGAGTTTTTGACTAGTTCAGAGACCAGAACGCAAATCAGCTAATTAAGAACCAATTAACTGACCTCTAGTTCTATTACTAATTTTTTTTGGCAGCCATTGCCCTAGTCTGCTATGTGAATGGAAACATATTTCCAAGATAAACACTCCCTTCTTCTGAGGATGAGGATAATAAGAATGCCAGTCTCTTAAGATCATTTTGAAGATTAAGAAGAAGCATAAAAAACTTGTGGCACATGTAAAATCTCTTAAAGGTTAGTTATTATTGTCATTAGTAAATAAAAATAAATAGGAAGAAGAAATAATAAACTATTGATTGGTAGATATGACATTATATTAACAGGTTACAGAAAAAAACACACACATAAACATATCTTCTCTAACAGTCTGAATAGGCCTATAATTGGAAAGTGCAAAACAATGGGAAAAAAGCAGTAGCAGTTCATTAGAGGTAAGAATGTAATGAGAAAGACAAAGTAGTTTTAATATGCTCAAGTATCCAAGTCCTTATTAATTTTATAACAGATTAATGAAAGAACATTTATATACCATCTAGGAACATTTATATTAAAAGAAATCAAGAATATTAGGAGAACTGCTTGAATTTCCAAAATCAAGGTACTAGTAACTACTGGAAATGACAACCTCACGGTTGATACTTAGTAAATTTCTAGAATCAATTGTTAAAGAAATTGTTTATTAGTATGTGAAAAATAAGATGACCTGCAGGGAGCATCATTGCTCACTTACTCAAAGTAAGGAACAGTAAAATAATTTTGATCATATTATCTTATCCGTTGATTAGGGAAATGTCAGAGAGAAATATATCGTCACTTCAATAAAACAGTATGATATGGTTTGGCTGTGTCCCCACCCAAATCTCATTTTGAATTGTAACTCCCACAATTCCCATGTGTCATGAGAGGAACCCGGTGGGAGGTAATTGGAACCTTCACTGTTCTTGTGATAGTGAATAAGTCTCATGAGATCTGATGGTTTTAAAAAGAGGAATTCCCCTGCATGAACTCTCTTTTTGCCTGCTGCCATCCATATAAGACATGACTTGCTCCTCCTTGCCTTCTGCCATGATTGTGAGGCCTCCCTAGCCATGTGGAACTGTGAGTCCATTATACTCTTTTTCCTGTATAAATTACCCATTCTCGGGTATGTCTTTATCAGCAGCGTGAAAACAGACTAATACAGTAAATTGGTACCAGTAGAGCAGGGCATTGCTGAAAAGATACCCAAAAATGTGGAAACAACTTTGGAACTGGGTAACAGAAAGAGGTTGGAACAGTTTGGAGGGCTCAAAAGAAGACAGGAAAATGTGGGAAAGTTTGGAACTGCCTAGAGGCTTGTTGAATAGCTTAACAAAAATGCTGATAGTGATATGAACAATAAGGTCCAGGCTGAGGTGGCCTCAGTTGGAGATGAGGAACTTGTTGGGAACTGGAGCAAAGGTGACTCTTAGTTAGGGTCTGTTTGTTTCAAATTAAAGAAATCTTTTTAGTATTTCTTATAAGGCAGTTCTAATGGCAGATTAACTCTTACAGCTTTTATTAGCCTGTAAAAGTCTTTATCATAGTTGCACAGCTAAATAACAGCCTTGCTTGGTATAGTATTCTTAGTTTACAGGGTTTTTTTTTTGCTTTCAGCACTCTGAATATATCATTCCACTCTCTCCTTGTCTGCAAGGTTTCTACTAAGAAATCTTCTGATAGTCTTATGACTGTTCCTTTGTATGTGATGAGTTGCTTTTCTCCTGCTTTCAAAATTCTGTTTTTAATTTTTAGAATTGATAATAATGTGCCTTAGGGAATATCTCTTTCTATTTAATTTATTTGTGGTTATTTGGGCTTCATGGATATAGATGCTCTTTCTCTTCTCCAGATTTTGGAAGTTATCTGTCGTTATTTTTTTGAATAAGCTCTCCTCTCCTTTCTCTCTCTCCATTACTTTTGGGACCCTCATAGTTTATATAATGGTTCACATGATGGTATCTTATAAGTCATATATGCTATCTTCACTTTTTAAATTTTTTTTCTTTTGCTCCTTTGAGTAATTTCAGATCTCTTGTCTTTAAGCTAATTTTTCCTTCTGCTTGATTGAGTTTGCTATAGAAGCTCTCTGTATAATTTTTATTTCAGTCATTATATTCTTCTGCTACAGGATTTCTGATTGCTTTTTAAATAGCTTCTATCTTTTTGTTCAAATTATTTTGTTTATGTATTTTTGTGTGGTTTTTCTACGAGTTTCCTACCTGTATTCTCTTGTAGTCCACTTAATGTCTTTAAGATGATTATTTTGAATTATTTGTCAGGCAGTTTGTGGATTTTCATTTCTTTGGGGTCAGTTACTGGTGATTTATTTTGTTTCTTTGGTGATGTCATGTTTCCCTGACTATTCAATTTTTTATGATCATTATGGCCTTCCATTGGGTCTGCACATTTGAAGTAGACAACTTTTGCAGTTTTTACAGATTGGCTTTGCAGTGAAATCCCTTCACCAGTCACTTCATCCAGAAATTCTTGGTGGGCCTCTGATTGGGTTTGTGGGTAAGATTACTTCTGCAGTCCTTAGGCAGGGTAGCCTGATGTCTTGCGGGGGTCAGTGAGTGGTTGTACCTGAAGCCTGAGTTGCATGGGCACGCCATGGTTCTGGGTCCATGAAGACCTATCTGGCACCTAGATCTGCAGGGGCCAGCCCAGCATCAGGATCTACCAGTGTACACCTGGACTCTGGATCTGTTGGAGCCTATGCCTGTGGGAACTGGGAGCCTGGCTCTTCAGAGGCTATTCTGAAAGATGAGTCTGTGGAGGTTAGCCTGGAGCTGGGTTGGTCTAGAGGCAGGGTTCCAGTTGGCACGCCTGAGTCATGGGTACATATGAGCAGTATTAAAACCTGGGTTTGTGGGGGATGGTCTGAGACTAGAGTCACCTACTCACATGGCTCTGGACCCTGGGTCTGCTGGAGCAAGCATTTGTTGGGGCCAGTTTTAGGCCTGGGACCAAAGGGACCAGCCTGGTGCTGGAAGGACACAGAATGTAGAGCTGCAGGGGCTAGCTTGCAGACTAAGTCTGCAGATGTCAGCCTGATGCCTGAGCCTATAAAGGCTGTCCTGGAATTTGTGTCC
This sequence comes from Homo sapiens, assembly GCF_000001405.40. Classification (NCBI taxonomy): domain Eukaryota; kingdom Metazoa; phylum Chordata; class Mammalia; order Primates; family Hominidae; genus Homo; species Homo sapiens. Next base: position 33,951,069 of record NC_000012.12, read on the forward strand.
GTAGGTGCCAGCCTGAAGCCTGGGGTCAGAGGAGGCGGGGTAGCATTGGGTTTTACTGGGGCATGTCTGATACTAGGGTCCATAGCACTTCCCTCCCCTTCTTCAAAGCAGAAGATATCTCTCTCCATGCTGTGTTGCCTGGGATTGTGGGGAGGATGATGCAGATAATGTGAAACTGTTCTTCCTACTCTTACTCTCTTTAATGTGACGTTTCTTATTTCAGCGCTGTACCCATATGCCATAATCTCTTACATGGATTCCTTAGCTCTTGTGAAGGTATGCTTATACATTGTTATTTGTTCAAATTATCATTTTCATGAGTGCATAAATGCTGTAAGGTTTTATTCTGCCATCTTGCTGATGTCACTCTCTCAAAGCTCTGTATGAGTATTAGTTAACCATCAATGTAATACAAATTAATAGCAGAATATAGATAGTAAGAAAGCTAGCACATTAGTTTCTGATATGGTTTGGATCTGTGTCCCCACTCAAATCTTATATAGAGTTATAATCCTCAATGTTGGAGGTAGGACCCAGTGGGAGGTGATTGGATCACAGGGGAGGTTTCTGAGGAATCTCAGCACCATCTCTCTAGTGCTGTTCTCCTAACAGAGTTCCCATGAGATCTGGCTGTTTAAAAGTGTATAGCATCTCCCTTCTCACTTTTTTCCCCTCTTCTGGCCATGTGAAGTTCCGTGTTTCCCTTCACCTTACTCCATGTTGTAAGTTTCCTGAGGCTTCCCTAGAAGCTGAGGAGATGCCACCATGCTTCCTGTGGGGCCTGTAGAGTCATAAGCCAATTAAATATCTTTTTGTATATAAATTACCCAGGCTCAGGCATTTATTTATAGCAGTGAGAGAACTAATACAGTTGCCAAAAATAGAAAATTATGTTTATCATAGGAATAAGTATCCTATTGTATTCTATTCTAAATAAACCAAATCAGCTTACAGACTTCTGTTTTTCTCAGTGTGTTTTTTAAAAAGACATTAATAGAAATATACTTGTGAGGGGGCATTTTGACTTGTTATGAAAAAGAGAAAAATGTAACATATGAATGAGCTGGGCAAGTTTAAACAAAAGGAAATTTTTTTAAAAAAGGCAAGATCTTAAATATTTAAACTATAATCATTTAGGAGTGGGTTTACCATGTGTTGTTTCTAAAAGTAAAACTAAAATTAGTGAATGAAGGTCATGTAGTGGTAGAACTCTTGTCAAGATTCAAAGAACAATGGGTTTTTATGAGGTATTGAGTTTCATACTATAAAACGAATTCATCTGTAGGATCACAGAATAAAAATAATACTAAGGAAGATAAATCAACTTCTCTTTAATGTCCAGCCTCAATGAGTACAGCTATATAATTGAGGTTGAGAGATTCTGGAGGCAAACTTCCTGGGTTCAATTTCCATCTTCCTTACTCATTTTCAATATTATTTTGTGCAAATTACTTAATATCTTTGTACCTCAATTTCCTTACCTATAAAATGCAGGTCTCTCAAGCACAATTATAAAATCCAAAATTTTTCAAAGTTAAAATTTTTTTAAGGTTATAGCAAACTTATTTGACAAAAAGAATATATTTGAAAAGATATGAGTTACTTATAGCAATATTTTCTCATGTAGTGTGAACATTTACAAGTTTCTTCATAGAAATGTTAATCTGTTTGATTGTGTTGTGCTGCCCCCAGACCCTTCTGGGGGTGATATATATCTATAATATATGCACTGTATTATTTTTCTGAATGCTTAAAACCTCTAATTTTTTAAACACATCTGTACCTAATCATTTCAGCAAAACTGTACACTTGTAATACCTATGACCTCATAAGGTTATATTAATTAGGTATACAGAAAAAAGCCAGGCACAGATAAATGCATAACATATTGTATTAGTCTGTTTTTATGCTGCTGATAAAGACATACTTGAGACTGGGTAATTTATAAAGAAAAAAAATATTTAATGGACTCACAGTTCCATGTGGCTAAGGAGGCCTCACAATCATGGTGGAAGGCAAAAGGCATGTCTTACATGGCAGCAGACAAGAGAGAATCAGAGACAAGTGAAAGGGAAAACCCCTTATAAAATCATCAAATCTCATGAGATTTATTAACTACCAAGAGAACAGTATGGGGGAAACTGCTCCCATGATTTAATTTTCTCCCACCGGGTCCCTCCCACAACACAAAGGAATTATGGAAGCTACAATTCAAGATGAGAGTTGAGTGGGGACACAACAAAACCATATCGCACATGTTAGCTACTACCACTAAAAAAATTATTTTATTTTCTCTATCCCTTATATTCAGAACAAAGTCATGAAAAGGAAAAACATTATTTCTTTATCACATAAAAAAGTGACACCGTGCACATTGGTACTTGTAAACTTGTATAACTAAGACTTTTTAGCAGTGCTCTTACAAAAGATTTCAACTTATTAGAAATCCTATAATCTTTAATTTCTCATAGTTGAAGAGTGTTAAAAAATTACTTTCATGGAAAAAGTTTAAGCCATCTTCTGTATATAAATAGAACAAAAATTGAGAGCATATACTTAAAATGGTAAAACTTTGAAATGCATTTTCATCCAAGACAAAAAACAAAATAAATGATAAAATGAAATGCATTTCTGTGAAATATATTCCGGTGTTCTTTGCAATTCTAAGAATTTTACTTCTTTTTAGAGAACATGATTTTCGTATGTGTGAAGAGTTCATACTTACAGCGTAACTTTTCTTTCTCTCTTTTTTTTTTTTTTTTTTTTTTGAGATGGAGTCTCGCTCTGTCACCCAGGCTGGAGTGCAGTGGCACTATCTCGGCTCACTGCAAGCTCCGCCTCCTGGGTTCATGCCATTCTCCTGCCTCAGCCTCCCGAGTAGCCACAGTCTAAGAACTTGTAACTTATAAACTAAGAACCTTATATTTAAAGTATGACTTTAAATCCTTACAAATCTTTCTAGATAGACCTGGATAGCATCCATTTATTTCACAAGTTTCAAAGAAATATGTACACTCTACACATACTTTTGAACAATCCTGTTCTAGTAGTCCATTTTCTGTTGGTATAAAATAATATCTGGGACTGCGTAATTTATCAAAAAAAAAAGAGGTTTATTTAGTTCTACAGGCTGAGAAATTTGAGGGCATAGCCTTGGCTTCAGGCGAGGGTTGTGTTGTGTCACAATACGGCAGATAAGTCAAAGAGGAAGTGGATACCTGCAAAGACGGAGGAGGGGGAAACAGTAGAGGAACTTTGCTTTATAACAACCTGCTCTTGTGGGAACTAGTTCATTCCTGAGAGAACTAGTCCAATGTCCAAGAGCAAGAACTTATTACTGAGAGAATGGAACCAAGTCATTCATGAGGTATTTACCCCAATGACCCACTTTCCATTGGGCCCCACTTCCCAACACCACCACAATGGGGGTCAATTTTCAACATGAGCTTTTGAGGGGCCAAACAAACCATATCCAATCACAACACCTAAATATTGTATAATATCAGAGACAAAGATATTATCGCTCAGGTAGAAAAAAATTGAATTCTCAAAAAATAGCCAGCTCAGAATGAGACTGTAGAGTTTAGAGCAGAGGGTTGGATATTACAATGGTAAATTCATGAATACCGACATCACCGAATAATTGATGACAGCCACAGAGTTAAATAGCGTCATAAAATTGTAGAATATCACTTGCTAAAAAGTGATATTGTTGTGAAGAAGAATGTACACCTTTCTCTATTTTTAATATTTTAACATTTCCTAGAAGATATCAAGAAATAATAGGAATTGGATATTTCTGTCTTATCCTCATTCTCAGTTTAATAACTGGAGGATGATTATGTTCACTGAGTCAGTGAGCCTAGGAGGAAAAGCAGCCTGAGACTTAACAGTAAAATGAAAGGCTGCAGTTTTGTCTGTCAAAACCCAAGTCCCTTTAGGACATCCAACTGGAGAGCTCTGGTAGAAACTTAATTCTCCTTCATATTTTCCTTAAAGAGAGATAAGTATCAGAATAATACTATTCTGTCCCCCTCATTATTTCTTTCTCAAACATCTCTCCATGTGTGTGAAAAAACAACTAATCTATTTGCCAAGTTAGAGAAACTTTGACATCCTTTGAGTTAAATTGACAAGAGTGGGGCCAAAAAAAAAATTAGTGAAGATTTATCTCTTTTCTCTCTCTGTTGTTCCTCTGCTGCATGGAATATGAGAAAGGTCATAGTTTTCTCTTCTAACCTGAAGGCAAGAAGAGAGAGAAAGGGGGGCGAGGGAGAGAGAGTATATGGGTACGTACCGAGGATGGTTGGCAGGAAAGTGAAAAAATGAATGGGAGTTTTGTCACTTTCTCCAACTTAGAAATTACCAAATAGCTCTAATCTAAAATTAATGTTTCATTTTCATCTCCATATGGATCCTTATTTTGTTTTCCCCCTCTGGATGAAAACCAAAAAATAATTACTTAGATTATTCAATATTTATCTAGGATAAGAACCTGGATTACTCCAGTCTCCAAGAAATATATCCAATAGGTGGCTGAAGATACAGGTATACAACCTATGAGAGAGAAATGTTTGGTAATTAGCAAATAAAGGGTCATTGAAGCCACAGGATCAAATAGGAGATCATTTAAGGAGTGTGAGTTAAGGAAGAGAAGACTTCTGAGACTGGAACTTGAATGAGATGACAAAGAAAAAGACAACTTGTTCATGATAGTGAAGTGAAACAGATATGCAGGAAGAAATTCAAAAGGTTCTGGGAATCAAAGTCAAAGTATTTCAAGAAAGAGAGTCATCAAAGGCATCAAATGCTGCACAGGCCAGATGAGAACACTTATCCAGAGGCAAAGGCAGAACAATGCAT